>NC_000022.11:12868137-12904788 GCF_000001405.40 Homo sapiens | reverse complement strand
GATCATATTCTGAAATTGTCTTAGCATTTACCCCCATTTCTGAGTCCAGAAGGATACAATAGATTTAATTTAATTTAGTAACACTTCAAATAGTAGTGATTGTAATAGCAGAGCTAGTTTGTAGCATAAAGAAAAAATAATAATATTATTAGGTGACACTTACAAATAATGCTAGTCACCATTTCTAAGTGTCTTGGGAAGTACAGTGATTATTTTCTTTCTTTCTGACTCTTTTTTACTTTATTTTTTATTTTTTTCCATAGGTTATTGGGGTACGGTGGTATTTGGTTCCATGGGTAAGTTCTTTACTGGAGATTTGTGAGATTTGGGTGCACCCATCACCCGAGCAGTGTACACTGCACCCTATTTGTAATCTTTTATCCCTCGCCTCCCTTCCTATTAAATAATAGACCAGAAATAATGGGTTTAGAATAAATGAGTTCAAATGAATTGTCAAACGTATGTGGGAAAAGTGGAATCAGTTTGTGAGAAAAAGCAAAAAACTCAACAGAAATGCTGATAAAGCATCATCCCTTCATGGCTAGAGCTGCCAGTACCCCAGAACACCAAAATCAGCTAGGGAAATTTTGTAGAAGTCCCAGATGTACTAAATGTTCTGTGAATATACAGAGATATAATTATAACTGTTACCTGCATGTAGAGTAAAGATGAGAAGGCATTGGTCATGGTGGCAGCTACCTCAGGAGTTACAAAGCAGACGTGGTCCCAGGACAGTATATGTCAGGGCAAAGCTGTCCTCGGAGGCTATTAGGAGCTGGTTATGGCACAGACATTGTAAGTCAGATGGTCTCATTACTTTCAATGACAAAACCAAAATTACTTTTGCATCAGCCAATACAACGGCCTGGCAAGAGCACAGAAAAAGGCCCTGTGCTGTTAGGTGGGGACCTCTGATGCAGCACAATTCCTTCATTCCCTTCTCCAAAACCCCCTCTTCCAATTCCACTGAAGAGAGAATCTGATGGAAGTGCTGTGTAAGCAGGCTCAGATATATCTACCACTATAGATAGTAGAGGTGATTCACAAATCCAAGCCTATCAAATACATCATAAATAAGTTACACGTTTAATTTTTTTTGAAATTAGGGATCATGATATGAAAGTTATCAGAATCAAAACTGTCACTAATGTTTAAAAAGAGAAGAAGAAACCTGAACAAATAGATTCAGAGAAGGCCTTGAAGAGAGGGTTCTCATGCTTCTAGGCCTGATAAAAACTATTACAAAATACCACAAAAACCACAACCTTGCACAAAGGCCATAGCAACCTTACACAAAATACACTTCTGTGAGGACATCTATCCAGCAACCGCCTGCCCAAACTTCAACTGATATTGACTTTGTTGTTGATCTTTATAGTCAAAGGTAACTATATCAAAACAATTATAGAAGCCTCTTCATTTTCCCTTATTTATTTTTTTCTACTCCCCCATACTTCCAGGTTGATCATTTTTCTTTTAAAGTCCTTGTCTTCCTTTACCATTTGAATCTATATAGTTTGCTTTGTCATGCATATTCCCATTGCAGTGCCCTCCTCTCTAAGATGTGTCTTTTTCCTTCAGAGAGCCTTTCTCTGTTTGTTATTTAGGTTTACAATGAGAAGGCGTGTAAAGTATTTTTACTGTCTTCCTAGGAAAAAATCACTGACTTACAGTATTTATATTTATTTATTTACATTCCTGGGGATGAGGAATTAAAGATTTCACAAATTTTCTTATTGATAAGATCCAAGTTTTCATGTGAGCAAAACTGAATATGTAAATTGATATGTAAATTATGCTGCAGATAATATGGTCAAATGTTTACTTGTATATAATTTGTTACACATGAATATTGCATATGTAAGATAATATACTAAGAAATTATCACATTTAATGAAATGCTTTAATCAAATTACTGATTGAACTTTTGATATCAATATCTTTTTCATTGTTTAATCCATCTTTAGGGTGAACAGGGCTTTATAGGCCAAAGTTATCACTTCTATCTAAATTGTCTGAGTTACAGAACTTTTTGAATTTATTATGTTGTCACAGGAAGTTTCTTATTGCTGTTTAAAGGAGTGTCTCTCAATATGATGCAGAATGCAAACTCACTGAAGGGCATATATCCTGAGTTTCTGTTACTGAAGCCAAAGGTTGCCAATTTCTTGTAGATCCTGCTAGAGTTAAACTTCATTTAAGTAATCATTAAAAGCTGCATTTATTCCCTCACTTGAAATTTTGATTTCACACTATTAGGACTAATCCTCTAAGTCTTTGCTAAGTTATGTTCCTCTTTTTCTTGTAGCTTGACTCTGATGATCTCTATATGCAACATCAATTGACATAAATTAAAGTACATTCAGGGCAAGAGAGTTTCTTTAAATATTACTTTGTTATTCAAAATAATCACAAAAGCACTCATCGTAGGAAAACTTGTGAGGACTCAAATATAGGGAAATACTTTTTCTTTCTAAGGCACAATTCTCTAAAGAAGTTCACCTTAATTTGAATATACATGGGAAAATATCCTTGTTCACTAATAGTCTATATTCACTCTGTTTTCTTCCCTCATAGACTAGCTGGTTCACTATTATTCTCCAAATGATGTGTGCTTCTCTAGAGTCCAGGTTATCTGCATATCTAATTTTTCCCACAAATTACTGTTTTGAATTGCACTGAATTCAATTCAAGGGGATGTCATTTATAAACAGTGCAAATATATACTGCACGAGGGATCTTAGAAATCATACACATGGTTTGATCCATAAGCTCATATGAGCGTGCAATGTCAACTTTTTTCATGTTTTTTTAAATCCACTTAAATTCTATTTTAAGCCATCATCTGCCTGTGCTGTTAGGGCAGTTAGCCTTCAATCATTTTAAGATGCTCCCCTCTAAGTACTGTGATAGTGATAGAGATATCACCAGTCAGGTGTCCTAGGAAGCCGACTCCGAGTTGGAGATTTGCATGCAAGGAGGTTGAAATGATATTCCCAACACCTGTGGAAGAGTGAAAGCAATAGGATTGGGTGGAGCAGGAAGTCGGCTGGAATGCAATCACTATCATGGCCGCAGTCCACTCTACAAGATCTTGGTGAGTTTACCTAATGACCTCGAATTGGAGCAAGAAAACCAGGCCATTATATTTCTGTACCAAGCAGTTCTCGGATGTGGGATGCCTTGAGAAGGGACATGAACTTGGATGAAGGAACTTTACTGTGCTGTGAGTATTGTTGCCAGGAGTCAGCTGTCAACACTCCCAGGAGACGGGAAATTATGCTTTAGTCACTGAGGCGGCATGTAGTGTCAGACCACAGCCTTGTTAAACAGAGCCAGAATTTGGAGGATGGTTGGTGGGTTTAACATTTGGGGCTTGACATCTTGTCCCCACAAGCTGCTGCTGGCCTCTTCCTTGTCCATTTCTGTGTGACCTGTTAAGGAGCCCCAGCTTCCTGCTTCTTCTTTACCATATTTGGAATGCAAAAATCTACACGTAATTTGGCCCATGGACCCTTCTGCTTAGACATATCCTTGTAGCTATTTTTTTTTTAAAAGATGACTATGCCTTCTAGAATATTTCTAAGAAACTGCCTAAGTCACCACTGCTCACCAAGAAGCCTTTGTTTTTTCCTCTTCTTAACCATGGGAAAGGAATGTAGGAGGGTAGGGAGTGGATATTTTCTAACCTGGAAAAAACTCATTTTACCCTATATGATTTTTGTTAACAAATTCCTTCTTTGCACTTACTCCACAATCTTTCCAAATTCTCCCAAATGCTCAAGCTTTTAAAAAACAAAAGACAGAAAGCAGGTTATTAGGTTTTCCAACAAACCTTTTCTTTCTATTCCTTTACATCAGTGGGCTTAGAATAACTCTGCTCCTGGAACTGGGAAAGGCACTTGGGAAAAGAAAGAAAAAAAAAAGCTCTCAAAGTTTAACATCACAAAACATTATAGTCACTGCTATTTTATTATTTATTTATTTATTTATTTATTTATTTATTTTTAGATGGAGTCTTGTTCTGCCACCAGGCTGGAGTGCAGTGGTGCGATCTCGGCTCACTGCAACCTCCGCGTCCTGGGTTCAAGCGATTCTCCTGCTTCAGCCTACTGAGTAGCTGGGACTACAGGCGTGTGTCACCACACCCAGCTAATTTTTGTATTTTTAGTAGAGATGGGGTTTCACCATATTAGCCAGGATGATCTCGATCTCCTGACCTTGTGATCCGCCCGCCTTGGCCTCCCAAAGTGCTGGGATTACAGGCATGAGCCACCGTGAGTGACCTTGCTTTGTAATTTTTACATCATATATCCCCTGTGTTAGACCAAGAGCTTGTAAAAACCAGAAGACATACACCATTTATAGTTCAATTAGAGATGTTCACTGATAAAACTTATTCTTCCATCTGAGGGTGGTATTTGTAGTTACAGTAATGTAGATGACAATCTAAGTTATGTTCTATGAACTGTGTCACTGACATCTCAATCTACAGCTAACTTTAATTTTTTAAAAGCAGAGGAGTGGGTTGTATAGGTTTAGAAATACATTCATCAAGCTAGTTAAGTGAGATATTCAAACCTTCAACTCACTTGAATATTTACCAAATTGACTATTCATTAGCTAAAGGAGCCATATAAACAAGGTACTTTTTAAAATTCAAAATTATGTAAGGTTTTGTTTCCTTTTTATGCTGTTATGAATTGGATTGTAGAGGTTATAAGGTAAAATAAGGTTACTTTTACAGTAAAGCATACAACACATTGTCACAAGAGGGCAGCCTTTGAACATGAATTTCTTCTCAGGCATTCCTTGAAATTTTGAGACAGTTACTTTAATTAACACAACTAAATAATAAAACACTACAGAGGATCTAAGAAGATACTTTGACTTATGCATATTGTTACTTTTTTATTACTGCTAGTGGAAGATGTAATCTACAAGGAAGGCAAGGGCTGAATTTGTTTTATGTAAGAAGACAAATTTCTTTGGGTTTTAGCTTTCAAACAAGATAGTAGGTCAATGTCTAAATGAGTGTATCAAAGTTCTCACACTAGCACATGTAAATCCACCTCTTATCTACCCAAAACTCTAACCAAGCAAAGGCAAGTTGGAAGAATCAGACAAATGTAAGTGCCTAGGATACATAAATGCCACTGGATTTTATGTTTTTAACTTGCAACCTCCCAAGTTTCACTAAGAGACATGTTATTTGGAGAGGTTGCTAAAGTGTAGTTGTATGATGTCTCTGTGTATGGTTGGTCTGGACCTCTTTCTGTCCAGTGGTTGCCCTCAATTGATTAGAGTCACCTCTCTAAAGATCATGCTTACGTCCCTGGAGCAGTCCACAGCACTATCAATGTCTGACCTCCACCTTTTTCCAATTAATATTTCTGTACTTACTGAATTGGAAAACATACAGGTGTTTTTTGCCTGGTCACTTGTGGTTTTACAACACTCCCCCCGCTTCCGCACCACTGCCCCAGGTGATTTTGTTGCCAGCCAAAGTGTGAGAACTACTGGCAGCTGCTGGCAGACAGCAGCAAAGGCCCAAATCCTCGGTGTGATTTCAAGACCCCTATCTAGTTTTCAGCCATATTTCCTTCTCCTTCTCACAGCTGAGCCCACTCCTCCTGCCTCACCACCTGTAGGCTATGCTTTCCAGCCTGTGTCCAGGATTAGTCCTGATGTAAGGCACGTGGGGTTTAAGGATCTCTCTCTTCAGTCTTATTTCCGCACCATCGCTGACACATATATTCCAGTTGTAATCATGGGGCTACCTCCTTTTCTTTCCAGTCCCATGCTCATTTTCTCTATCACATTCTACCTTGTAATAACCTAAATCTTCTGGTGGGCAAGCTTCTTCCTCAATCAAATTTGTGTTTATGATTGTGTTGGGGATTGGCTTAGTAATCCAGGTACTGCTGCTGCCTTGAAAGCGGAGACTGCATCCTTCTGTCTGGATATCTTGAGTTTCTGGATTGTAAACCTTATTAGGACCCATTTTTCCTAGAATTGGAGCCTCTACTTTGTTCTTGCTACTTTAGTTCACCCAGAAATCACGATCTCTGCCTGAATTTCAAAGTGTTGGCTAGCTTAAATATCCTTTTGTGAGACTTTCGTCTTCCAGCGGGGTGATTTTTTCATCTTACATACCATTGCTAATCTTTTTATCTTGAATGTAATTGAAATAGTTTTAATCTGTGTTACAAGCAACAAGAACCCCTTTTATGAGATGAAGAGGCCAGGTCAGTCTCATAACATGTGTCCCCCTCCGTGTGTTGAATTTATGTCAGAGCCAGGTTCTTTCCTATTTGACGTCTCTCACCAAATTCCAGTGTTTATGTCCTAGGAGGTGCCCAATAAATTCTAGAGTTGATACAAGCTGCAATTTTAGAGAAATTAAATTAGCAAGTAAAATTAGATTATATACAACCTAATCAACTTTTTTTTTTTTCTGAGGATGACCAAGATTTGGGCTTCAGTGACAATAGTTGTCCCCTAAATATTTATACTCAAAATCTAGGATCACCAGTACAATGTTGAATAGAGGTGATGAACACACACATCCCTTTCTTGTCCTAATCTATGTGGTTTAAACATTTACGCTTTCACCATTAAATATAGTATTGTTTATATGTTTTGTTGTGGATGCTTTCCATCACTTCGAGAAAATTTCTTTATCTAGCTTGCTGAGAGTTTTTTTTTTTTAAATCAGCAATAGATATTTCTCCAAAGAAAATATCCACATGACCAACAGATACATGAAAAAAATGCTCAGCATCACTAATCAGGGAAATGCAAATCAAAACCACAAAGAGATATTGCCTCAAGCCCTTTAGAATGGTCTTATTAAAAGAAAAAGATAACGAGTGTTAACAATGGGGAGAAATTGGAACACTTCTACAGTGTTTCTGGGAAAGTAAAACTGTGCATCCTCTATGGAAAACAGTACGGTGGTTCCTCAAATAAATTAAGAAAGTAGAACTAGCATATGATCTAGTAGTCTCACTTCAGGTTATTTATCTGAAAGAATGGAGATTGGGATGATTCTCAGGCTCATTGCAGCATTATTTACACTAATTAAAATGTGGGAATAAGGTTAATGTCTATTGGCAGATGAAAAGATAAAGAAAATGTGGTATATTCATACAACGGAATATTATTCAGCTTTAAAACAAGAAAGCCCATCAATATGCAACATGGATGAACCTAGAGGACATTAATGCTAAGTAAAGTAAATCAGTCACAGAAGGACAAACTGTATGATTCCACTTGTATAAAGTATCTAAGATAGCCAAATTCATTAGAATCACAGATTAGAATGGTGATAGCTCTTTAAGTTGAAGTCAATTTTGCATTCCTAGGTTTTGTAATTTTGGTATCAGGATTCTGACTCATAAAACAAGTTTGGAATTTCCCCCTTCTTTATTTCTGAAATAATTTAAAAATTTTATTTTTTTAAAACGTTTGAAAGAATTCACCAGTGAAATTCTTTAGATCTGGGGTTTGCTTATTTTTTTATTTATTTAATTTTATGTTTTTATGTGCAGGTATTTTACAATTAATTTAATTACTTTAATAAATGTCAATTACTTCCTATGTTCCATTAAATCTTGTGAAATTTTTTATAAGTTTTTTTCAAGGAAGTCACCCTTTCATCCAAGTAATGAAAATTTGTATATAATGTTTCACAATATTCCATTATCTTGTTAAAGTCTCTTGTGTCTACAACTGTACAATCTCATTAATCCCTGATATGTATAATTTGCGTTTTCTTTCTTTCTCACAGAACTAACTTTTGGCCATGTTGATTTTCTCCTGTTTCTGTTTTCTGTCTCATTGATTTCTAATTTCTGTTTTATTTCCTTTCCTCTACTTGTTTTGGACTTAATTTGCTCTCTTGTTTTAGATTTTCTTTTTAAGGTAGAAATTAGTTCACTTGTTTTGAACTTCTCTTTTCTAGAATAAGCATTTATACAAAAAATTTACTCTGGGTCTGCTTAACTTTATCCCATACCTTTTGATATAGTATATTTTTATTTGTATTCAGTTCAATGTATTTAAAGGTGTTTCTTATGATTTCTTCATTGAGCTAAAGGGCATTTTAAGGTGTATTTAAATCTTCCAATAGTGTAGACTTTCCTGGGTAGCTTGTTTTTACCCATTTCAACTCATTTTCATTATGGTCAGAAAGCATACTTTCCATGATTACAGTGTTTTGAAACTTCTTGAGAGATATTTTGTGGTCTATAGCCTATTGATAAATGTTTCATGTGTAGCATAATAGAACATATATTCTATTGTCTTGGTCAATATCGATTAGGTCAAGCTGTTGTCAAAATTATTTTATCTTAATTTTCTTTAGTTATTCTGTCAGCAATACAGCATTATGTCTTCATAATTACTTGACATTTTGTCATTATGAAATAGCTGTCTGTTGTAATATTGCTCGTTTGGAGGTCTACTTTTTCTTATATTAATATAGCCACATAAGATTTCTTGTCCTTGTTGTTTCCTTGGTATACTTGGAAATTATTTTACTCTCAACTTATCTATACCATAATATTTGGCATGCATCTCTTATAGGTACTTTTATTATCCAGTTTGACAATCTGTGTTTTATTTGGAGTATTTAAATTACATTTGAAATAATTACTGAAAAGGTTGGATTTAAGCCTACTATTTTTTTTTTTTTTTTTTTTTTTGAGACGGAGTCTGGCCCTGTCACCCAGGCTGGAGTGCAGTGGCGGGATCTCGGCTCACTGCAAGCTCTGCCTCCTGGGTTCACGCCATTTTCCTGCCTCAGCATCCGGAGTAGCTGGTACTACAGGTGCCCGCCGCCATGCCCGGCTAATTTTTGTATTTTTAGTAGAGACGGCGTTTCACCGTGTTAGCCAGGATGGTCTCGATCTCCTGACCTCGTGATCCACCCGCCTCGGCCTCCCAAAGTGCTGGGATTACAGGCTGAGCCACTGCGCCCAGCCTATTTTGCTCTTATGTTCTATTTGCTCCATCATTTTTTGCTCCTCTTTCTTTCATGCCTTTTTATATTAACTGAACAATATTCAGCGTTCCATTTTAATTCCTTTATTGGCATTTTAGAAGAATATCTTCATATAATGTGGTGGTTCTCTAGGGATTATAATAAACATCCTGGGCTTATCGCAGTCCACTTAGTGTTAATAGTCAGCGTTTTCATGTAACATAAGGAAAAGTTGCGGCAAAATTGTTGCGTTTAGTCTCCTGTCAGAGCTATTAATTTAGAATATTTTACACACATTATCAATAGTACACTTAATTTTTTATTCAAAGCATCAGTTGTTTGTTATAAAACTAAAAAAAAAAGCCTTAGTTTTTCACGTTTATGCACATGCCATTCCTAGAGCTTCTCCTTGCTTCCTGTAGGTCAGAATTTCCGTCTGTTGTTATCTTTCTTTAGCCTAAAAAATTTCCGTTTGCATTTCTTGTATCTTGGTCTGCTAATGACAATTGTTTGAAGCTTTCTTTTATCTGAATAAATCTTTCTTTTCTCAAGAATTACTTTATCTAGTTATAGAATTTGGAGTTGACAGTTTTCTTTTGAAGATGTAGTTTCATTGCTTTTTAAAGTGTCATTTCTGATGATAGGTCATCTGTCTATTTGTTTCCACGGATGTAAATTATTTTCTCCCTCCCTTTAGCTACTTTCAAGATTTACTCTTTTTTTTGCCCAGTGGTTTGACTATGGTATGTCTACATTTGGTTCTCTTTATTTTTATTCTGTTCTTTGAGTTTCTTAAACCTGTAAGTTGATATATGCTGACAATTAGGAAAACTTTTGGTCTTTACTTTTTCAAATAGCTTTTTCTGTCTCATTTACTTCTCTACTCTTTCTAGGACTCCAATTATATTAGTGCTAGACTGGCCCTATTTTTATTATTTTTCTTCGTTTGTATTAACTGTATTGGGAAATTGTTCTTGATCTGTTTTTAAGTGCACTGATAATTTTTTGTGCCATCTTTAATTTACTGGTATGTACATAAAATGACATTTTTATATAAGATACTCTGTCTCTCAGTTCTAAAATTTGTCCTATTATCTCTTTATCATTTTTACTTCTCTGTTGAGATTCTCCATATATTCCCTCTTATGACCATCTATTCCTTAAATCCTTGAATATGCTTATAATAGCTTATTTTAAATTTCTTATATTCTAATTCCAGCGTGTGGGCCATTTCAATGTCTTAATCCATTGTTTACTTTTTTTGTTATGTGTCATATTTTCCTGGTTCTATGTCTAGGCAGATTAAATTATATGTTAGATTATGTGTATGATATTTTGTAGAGATAGGTTTGTTTATTTTCCTTTGAAGAATGACTCTTTTCTAACATTAGTCTTCTTTCCGTAGTCAAACACCAAACTTTCACTCCTGAGCTATATGCAATGGTTGAAATCTCTGCTCTGTACTAGCAATTTAGCTGTTGTTTTCTGCTGGATTCTATGGAGTCTCCTTTTATGAATGTGAAATGTAGCAGCCATCATATATTTGAATGAAGTTGAAGTGCTGATTTTAGATTTTTACTCTGTGATATTCTCCTCTGTGACTTTCAGTTGTGTGAGATGTCCTCCCATGTCATTCAAATTTCCCAGTTCCTCTTTTCTGTCAGCCTGGAACTCTGTGCTCTTATTCCTCAAGCTAGTAAAACTCACCGCTTTACTCGTAGACATCTAATTTTGCACAGACTGGGAAGCGTCATCAGGTGTGAAGTTGCCTTGATGCAAATTTAAATCATTGCAATTTTCTTTATTCAATGGTCAAATACTTCATCATTAGTGGAGTATTCTACTATTTCTGCCTGTTTTCTGTTTCTCATTACCATCAAATGTGTATTTAATTTTTTTAGAGTTAATAGTTTTTTCCCTGCATTTGGTTTAGACCTGAGCTAACTTTTTGTCTAACAATGTTTTAGAAAACTCTTTATTTGGAGGGAATTCTCAAACTTCTAAATACTCTACAAACATTAGGATCAGGGCTCACATTCCCAGTTTCCCTTGTAGCCAGATGTACATATGGAACATGGCCTCAGCTAATGAAGCATACCCACATATTTGAAAGTAAGAAAAGTGTTAAGAGGAAGTGTAGATATCATTTTAGTTGATGCAAGGATGGAAAAAAATAACCAACTTTCACTGGTGAACTTTGTCTTCAATCATTGTTTTCCCGTGGGTAAGTGGCTAATTTTCTGGCCTAGAGGTGGAATTGGGGTGTTGGTAACAATTGATTTGATGATAACCTGCTTTTGTCTTTTTAAAAATTGCTAATCTACCATTGTTTCTGGTCCTGTTTTATATTTATGCAGTGTATAATGTCTCATGCAAAATTTAGTTCTTTGTTTCTCAGCTTAAACTGGATTTTGATGGGCAGTTTTCACCTTCAAATGAAAGAAATGGCTTTGGTTGATGTTAGACAAAAATAACAAGAAGAAATTAAAGAAATATGTTTGTCCTCTTGTAACATTAAATAAATGAAACTGAAAATTCAATAATTCTGCTTCATAAAAAAATAGAAAGTTTCTACTGGTTTTCATTATTTTTGAAGCTGTATCATTAAATGAAATTTCTGCCTCATGGAAGGTTTTTAGAACTATGTAATAATACCATACAGACCATTAGGAGAGAAATGAATAAAGACTGAAAGAAGTAAGCACTGTGTGGTAACATAGATGGCGCACAGTTGTGTGCGTGGAGCCCTAATACATTTGACCATGGAATTTATACAATAAATGTTAGTTTCCTGTGAACCTGCTAATTAATATGACTTTTGCAGACATTTCCTTAACCTAAACAGTTTGGGTTTCCTGTATATAGACTGCATGTATTCTCACCTTTAACCTTTCCATAATCTTCCCTAATTACAGATGTCATTGGTTCTTAACAGCAAAAGAACAGCAGTAGCTTATAAAGTTATATTATTTGTTTTTTACTAATATGTGAAGTGATTTTGTCTTTCATTTCACCTGTAGAGCTAATTATGTCTTCTAGGTTAACAAAAATTCCAGATCATACCATCATTAGTTTAAACTTTACAATGAAATCATTATTTCTATTTATTACTAGCCTGCATTATAGCAATATTTAGCTAATGAATTCTCAAAATATTTCTTGAAAGGTGAAAGAGTACCTCAAGTAAATGGTGTAATTTATTTATTTATCAGAATTTTAAATTAATTGTTCTGTTTAATCTCAAAGGGGTACCAATGAAGTCAGGGCATAAGGAGTCCGTGGTTAATAAAATGGCAAGAATTAAAAAGGATTATTACATTTTTTCCTCATACTATGATGCCTATAATTTTTTAAAACAGTAGAAATGTTTAATTTTTAAAGGCTACTAGTGTCTATTTCATTCAAAGATGTGAGCTCTTCAGTTCAACTTGTTGTTTGAAATTTGAAAAGCTTTTTCTTGCTCTTGTTCAATACAGTTATTTAACAGTCCAGGCAGGCCTCTGGAGTTACATATATGTATGTGGCTATGCGTGTATATATACACAGAAGTACAAATAGCATATAAACAATTTACATAAGACTTTTGCTTTTGATGAAAATTCTTCTAAAAGTGAATATAAATTAATAGCATATGGAGCCTACAAAAATTGTCTAATAGGGAACTAGGAAAAGATAATTTGTGAAGAAAGAGTTCGCTAAAACAGACTTTTTATTTTTACATGTAATAACATTATATTGAAGGGTTTCCAGAAGTATAAAATGTTATAGGGCACTTATCCTGAGACACACGAAGGAGACAAGGGATAGAGCTAGGATGGAAGTGAAAATAAAGGACAAATAGAGATAGATACTTAAGTGGAAATGAAACACTGCATGTTCTCACTCATAGGTGGGAATTGAACAATGAGAACCCATGCACACAGGGAGGGGAACATCACACACCAGGGCCTGTTGCGGGGTGGGGGGAGGGGGTAGGGATAGCATTAGGAGATATACCTAATGCTAAATGACGAGTTAATGGGTGCAGCACACCAACATGGCACATGTATACATATGTAACTAAACTGCACGTTGTGCACATGTGCCCTAAAACTTAAAGTATAAAAAAAAAATCATCAAACAGGTGGTAATTTCAAAACATGGCTTTTTCAGGCAGCAAATTTTCTGAATGTATCGCAAAAGAAGATAAATTGCATGTCTATGTAGATCATGTCAATGAAATAAACAATAAAGTTACTTATTCGAATATTGAAAGTGGTTGATAGTAAATAAATTATTTATATTTATGGTAAAAGCAATAAACTTGATTTTTAGGGGGTTCAATGACTTCCTGAAAATATCCTGTCACAGATTTTCTCAGAGTGTCTAGTTGGCAAAAGCGCAGCTCCAAATAGCTATTTCTGTCAACGTCTACAGAACATTTACAGTTTGATTTCCAAAAGTTTCCATTTCTACTGACCTTACAAATTTGTAAAGTGAATGCCCACCATGACAAAATATTAAGTGATAAAATTAATTGCATCCTACAAGTGAAAATCTAGGCAAGGAAAATCTTCTTCCTTCTTAATGAATGATTTTTATGTCTCTTCATTCTTGTCCTTCTAGGTAAAGCAACACTCTGGAGACCTTCTTTTGAGGCATTTCACCACCAGAGTAAGTGTGATGTATGAGTAATTAGTCCACCCACAGGGAGCTGGTGAAATTAAATGGGAAGTTATTTCCTAACTGGCATATCTTGGAGTAAAATTAATCTAATAACAGCTTTCATAAGAGAACATAAGCTTAAAAGACAACATTTTTCATTCAACTTTACCAAACAAAGTGCAAATTTAGGTGTCCAGTTGTGAAGTTTGGTTGTGTGTGGATTGTACGGTGAAGGTACCAGTGGACAACAGTTCCTCATCAAGCAAGTTTATACAAAAGCTTTTGGACAAGTCCAACTCTAGATAAAATTCGAAAGTATTTCATGCTTGTGTTCAGAGTTTCTTTTTCTCTCTCCAAGGTAACCCACATATCAAAAGACATATGGGTTGTGGGTAGAACTTCCTAAAATTGCTGGTGAGAAGTGTGCCATGCATAAGCATACTTCACTAGCTTGAATTTTCTGTTAGTCTCACAGGCAACAATTACAATCCTGTATGTTTTTCTATCTCCAGACACTCCTGAACATAAAAAGACCAAGTAACATCCCTGGTTAAGATGTGTACAGGTTCCAAGACATGTCTAAATATATTCACCAAGAGGTTTATTATTTTCACAGTGGCATTCACTAAATCAGTTGTCAGTGTAGCATTACTCAAGGAATATGCAGGGTCTTTAATTTATCAAAGTTTGGAGTGCACCCCAAGTTGGATCACTGAAGCACATAACTATAGATAAGGTCACTCAGAAGCACAAATCCAGGTAATAAATATCCACTAGTAGTTTATATGCATTTAGCAATTTGAATGCTGTGAAGTGTAGCCCAGAAAATCAATCGACATGGAGCTATTAAAGAGGCATTCATGGCACCTGCACTTTGAATCTCTTCAGACTCAGGTTAAACAGGAGACATGGTAGCTCATATATACTGCAAAAACCCTTCCTCTTTCCCTTTTTATCTATGAACCTGCCCTTTTCAATGTTATCTAGATGCCTGAAGGTATGAATACCCTTGATCTTGGTAAAAAATGGTACCACCCATCAGCAAAATCTCACTGATCAGTGTCTATGTTACCTCACTGAGTTAGCCTTTTGTGTTGTTGTGGCCCAGAATGACAATGTTGACACAATCCAAACCAGTAGTTGGAAAGTTAATGTTGGATGCGTCTTTGACAATTGATGGAATGACCTGAAATCAAATGTGAGGCAGTGGAGACAGAAGAATGCTATTCAGGAAGTTAGTGATCTGTGGAGATACTAAATGAAATATCTGGAAGGAATTGTAATCTTGCAACTATGCTTTTATGTGTTTTTTGACATAAACAGTTTCTATTTATGGTGGAGCTAGAGTGTCCATTTCCCATGAAGTTCCCATAGTGTTAACTAATACAGTCATGTGTCACTTAATGACAGGGGTGTGTCTGAGAAATGCATTGCTGGACAATTTTATTATTGTATGAACATCACAGAGTTTACTTACACAAACCTAGATGCTATAGCTGATTACATACCTAGGTTAGGTGGTATAGCCTATTCCTCCTAGGCTACAAAACTGTGCAGCATATTACTGTACTGAATACTGTAGGCAATTGTAACACAACAGTTAAGTATATCTATACTTACTTATATCTATACAGTAAGTGTATCTATACATGTCTAAACATACAAGAGGTACAGTACAAATACAGTGTTATGATTTTATTGCACCACTGTCATACAAGTGCACTATCCTTGACCAAAATGTTGTTATGTGATGCATGATTGTAACAAAAGAATTAATTAAATATAATATCGAAGTGCCTATTGAGATTTCAATGAAGAAAGGAATATTTGTAAATTCTGATTACCTTAAGTGGGAATTGACTTTCTTCCTGTTTCCATGGCTGTTCTTGTGAAAGAGCATAGCTTTCCAAAGACCTGAAATCTCTGACAAATCTTGTAATTCTCTATAGCCTGCATTATGAAGGGCACCTGGTATCAAAAGGGGCAAAATGGTAGATTATAAAGACCTGTACTTTCTTGTCACTTCCTAAACATAGCAAGCATTGGTCTATCTTGAACATTTCTGCAGTTATAAATGAGCCTTGGGTCATGATTTTCTGCCTTTTTATCATAGACAAGATTTAATTTAGGAGATGTCCTTTTAATGTGTAATGTGAATAGTAAGTGACACTTATGAAGCCTATTTTCTTCCAGCCATTTTAATTGTCAAATCTGTCCAGTCAAGATGCAATGTTAGAGGCTTCACTGACAACACCGTCTGTGTGTGTGTGTGTGTGTGTGTGTGTGTGTGTGTATACATACATATGATTGAGCAGGATTTATTGTAAGTCAAAACAGTCTCAAATTTCTTAGGACAATACAGCTTCCTTGGCCATTCCCTTGGAGCTCTGAGTTGAGGAGCTGGTGATGTGTATTTCTTTTGCATGTTCTCCACATTATCCCTATGCAGGCCTTCCATGGGCTTGGTTTTGGAACCAGTGATGAAGAAGATCATTAGAATTGTTGTTCTCAAAAAGATTCCTCCATTCTTCTGTATAAGCAATGGCAATTTTCCCAGACCAATATTTCTTCTTTTGAAATGGTAAATTTTGAATATTAACTGGTTAGTATAATCCCATAAAATAACAAAGTTTGAGCCCTATGATCTGTGTTTTAGGCTCAAGTTGTGTTTTATGCTAAATCATCATTTACTCCTTGTATGATCTTTTTTTTTTTTTGAGACAGAGTCTCACACTGTCACTCAGGCTGGAGTGCAGTGGCACAATTTTGGCTTACAGCAAGCTCCGCCTCCCAGGTGCACACCATCCTTCTGCTTCAGCCTCCTGAGTAGCTGGGACTACAGGTGCCCGCCACCACACCCGGCTAATTGTTTTTTAAGATTAAGGATGAAATAAAAGCTGCTCCCCTATATTACATTCATAAATCAGAATTATTAAAGCAAGCTATTTATTTATTAGAAACACATACTCCAAATTTAGCATCTAAGACATGACAGTCTTTCAAGAGACATCAATTTACTTTTTAGGGACTATAGCTGTATTTGTATTCATGTTATTGGTGTCCATAATATTTCATTAGATGTTCTGGGTAAATTGATAAATGAAAATAATATATGTGATAAGGAGAACAACCTAGGCCTCCTGGAGGGCCCCTTACAACTCAGCTGGTGTTAGCAGAAATGCCTGGGAGTAACAGTGAGAAACAACCTTTCAAAAGTGTTGAGCAATTTTTCAGGCAGAGGACTATATATACCAATCCAGGCAGCAAGATAAGTGGAGGTCAGTTAAAAGATCAGTATGTGATTACATTTTTTTTTTTAGGTTTCTACTGAGAGGAAATATAACACTCAGTTATTATTTTCTCCACATATCTCTGGTTATTTTGTCACAACCTTTTATGTAAGCTACTACCAAACACTGGGTTATCCAAGATCTATGGGTCGTATTCAATATTTGCTTTTCCCTCAACTACTAACACATTTGATTCCCTTTGTAACTTTCTCCCCTATTTCTCCTTTCAACCTGTTTTCTCCAACCACACTGAGTTAATAAGCCTCCTATATACTCTCATAACCTGTTTTATCTAAAGAGATTTCCTTTTTCTACTATTATACCCATCTCATTCCCTAATTTATTTATTCTTATTTCTCACTCTATTTTTATTCTTTTAGGCACAGCTCATGTCTCATGACTTTCAAAAAGTTTTTCTTCTGATATTCCCAGCTCGAATTAGGTACATCCCAATCAGTTTCCTTAGACTTACAACTCTACATATTATTGGCTTACAATCTGTCTTAGGCTGGGAATTAGCTCCTTGTAGGCAGGGGCTAGAATTTATTTACTCTTATGTCCATAATGCCTGACACAGGAACTATTCTCATATACAAATTGTAGGGTCATAATTCCTGAGAACATATGTACATTGTAGTGACTCATAAAGGCTTGAAATAAATTTTTAAAATGATTAATTGGGAAGTCCATGAACTTGACATCTTGATGTAGAAGAAAAGCAAGGGCAGATGAAGAAGTTATACAGGATACTTGAAATACCAGAAGAATATAATCAGAGAGCAATACATTAATCCTAGATTTTTAGATGTGAAGAAGTTCTGAGAAATATTTGAAGACATGGCTCTAGGGATGAGTACATAACAGAGACCAGTAGCCAGAGTCAG
The DNA here is from genome assembly GCF_000001405.40 of Homo sapiens. Taxonomy (NCBI): domain Eukaryota; kingdom Metazoa; phylum Chordata; class Mammalia; order Primates; family Hominidae; genus Homo; species Homo sapiens. The sequence continues at coordinate 12,886,984 of NC_000022.11, read as the reverse complement.
AGCTTTTCAGAGTGAAGAAATTGCATTGCGGGGGGAAGGACTCTTGTATACTAAATAGAAATTGTCATTAAATGGAGACTAAGCAAGAGGCTGATGATCTGTGGATGACAGACGCAGAAAGGTGTGGAGATAGAGGTAAATGCCATAATCTACAAAGAAGATATTTTTGTGCCAGAAAGAAATAATAGGTCTAGAACGTAATAAAAGATAAATAGTTAACTACATTGCAATGTGGTCTGAGAACTCACTGAAGGCATAGCCATTGATATTAACTTCCACTTCGCTTCCAGACAAAAGATTTTAAATATCTTAAAAATTCCATTTGATATTGTATGATTCATCAAGACAGAAAGTAAAGCTGTAGTTGCCCTGGGAGGGCGGGGAATGGGGAGTCACTTTTTAATGGGTACAGGATTTCAATTTTACAAGACAAAAAGAATTATGGAGATGGGTGGTGGTGATGCTTGCACAACATTGTGAATACATTTAATGACACTGAATTGTATACTTAACAGTGGTTAAGATGCAAATTGTTGAGTGTGTTTTGCCACAGTTAAAAAATGGAAAACAATAGTATTTGAAGATATAGCCCATTTCATCTGGTAGCTAGCTGTATGTGTCTGCTCAGCTGTGGATAGATATTTATGCTGTTTCTGAACTGGAGGTTACTGGTATTCTCTAAGATATAGGAAAATTGATCTTATGTGGCTAACTGAGGTGGATATAGTTGTATCAGTCAGACAGTAATGATATAATCATGATAGTTTACATTTAACACAACTTACATGTGTTATACTTTAGAAAGCACTTCATTCATATTATTACTTCATACCATTTTCCCCTTACCATATTTGTCTCTCCTTTCTCTGCTGACTTCAGAAAATGTCTCTTCCACACTACTCAATTCATCTCCTTATTTTGTCAAAATTTTAAGTCTCAGAGTCTCCAAAAAAAAAATTCCAGACAAGTCTCATCAGCTTTCAGTCATTGATTAATCGATATCCTTAGAGGCTTTCCCTTCCCCTTCTCAATTTAACATAGCTTCCAAATACACTTGCCAATAAAACAAAGTTGTTTATATGGTTTTGTATTTCTTCCTGCTGAATTATGAACATTTTTTCATATTGACATTGATTTCCATCTGGCCATGAAATACTCAAGGTGAAGAAAATGAAACAAAATTGTTAATATTTATCAAGAGCCAGGCACTGTTTTCAGTGTCCTAGAAGCATAAACTAGTGTAACGCTCACCAGATCATATGAGAGGCAAAAATGGATGAAACTATAAAATCAAGACACAGAGAGTTAAGGGAAATTTCCCAAGATCACACAGCCACTGAGGATATGAACTAGATTTTGACTTCAGGCTATTTACCCCAGAACCTGTGCTTTCAACCATCATTTGTACTGCTTCCCTAAATTACTCTTGAGTACACTGTGACATCATATTTCACCTATGACACTGATTATCTGGGGATCTTTGCAACTTATTCTGAATGTGATTCAGTTTTCTTTTCTGTACAGAGATAAAGTCAGTATATACTCCATAGATTTGTTATAAGGATTATATGAAATGACACATGAGAAGGCTTTAAAAGGACTTGGAAAGAAATAAGCTTTTTTGTTTTCAATCATTTTTCAATAGGTTATCAGTGTTGTGAATGGTTCATGAAAAATGACTTTGGGCTCAGTGAGTAACTGAAATGTTGTTGCTTAATAGTGTGTTTAATATTAATATAATAGTAACAAATGTTGTTATTGTTGAGTAATACTTATTTGGTTTTTCACTGCTTTTCTTTTCTAGTGTTTTAGTCAGAGACTTCTTAAGTCTCCTCAAGTGTGTACACATTTCTTAAATTTGTTGGAAAGTACCAAATTTAAGATATCTTGCATTTTTTTCTTCCTTAGTAAACACTAAATTCCATCACGCAGCAGAAAAGGGGCTCTGTTATTGTTGGTACAATGGCTTAATATTCACTTTTATTCCCTGTATCGTAGTTCTGATATAATTGCTATTTAGAATAAAACTTATTCCTTATTATATGCATTCGTAATTATAAAATTTGTGTTTTAATGCCTTCTACACATATACTGTGTTTTTCTTTATTTCCTTATATCTCTTACTGTTTCATGATCCTGGTATTTGAAATCTCATTAAGTGTTGTTTGGGGATTTGCTGGGAATGTCATCTACATAGTAATGTCTCAAGTTTGTAGCATCTTTAAAACATAATAGGAGGTGCAATTCACAGCAGAGTAATAACCATCCCACTTTAGGCAATGTATTTGTGATTGGTATGACTTTGTTCCCAGAGGGCAGTTAGCAACACAATATTAAGGCTATGTGTACAAGGAAAACAAATTTTAAAAATCTCCTTTAAAAAAAAACAGTTCCCGATCCTAACCAGTATCATGCACAGAATCCGTTTCCACCTCTTCATATGGAAGCAGCTCTGGGTGGACATCTAGAAAGTTGGATAACTATTTATCACATATGATCTGTAAAGGGAGAGATTTACAAGAAAGTGTTAAATTTAATCCATAGGAAAGCAAAATCAAAAATCAATGAATTTTCCATTTGTAGTTTTCCCTAGGGGCTCCACTCTCTAGATGGCTTAAATGCGTTAGAATTAAATGACTAGGCACAATTGTTTGTTAGTGACATAAAAGCAAGGTAAGCATTTCTGCTTTATGAGTCCAAGCACAGGGACACTTGGTTTTCTTTGGAAGGATATCATAAAGGCAATGTTTATGAGTAATCCCTCATTGTCTTTCCTTCTGTAGCATTCAATGGTATGTACTATAATTTAGAAATGAAAACTACTTAAAGACCACTTGCTAAGTTTCATGTATTTCAAATTCTCAGATCCTGAGTGTTTAAATATGCCTATATTTCTTCATGAAAAAAACATAATCTTTGCCAAGTTAGAAAAAGAAAGTCATATTCCCATTTTTAACTCAATGTAATCAGAAATTTGGACAGTTTATAGCCTTCAATACATTATGTAATTTAGGTAACAGGCTGAATAAAAGTAAGGAACCTCAGTTAAATTCAGAGAGAAGCTAGTAATTATTTCTAAGACTCAAATGTATAGAACAGATCTCTGATATTAAGGATAAGACCCTCAAGGTGACCCAAAATGTGTAATTGTGGGATTATTTTGGGAGGAATCACCATAGATTCTTACTGCTATAAATACAGTCAAATGTCAGATAAATATACTCCACTGAAATGTTTTCTAGGAATGATGTTGGAACCAATGTTGGTAACTTTGAAAGTCATGGAGAGGATTTCAGATGATAGAAGTCGGGCAACTATCCCAGGTTTAATAAATAAGCAAATGGTGAGTTCCAAAAATGCTGTATCAATGAGCCTCATATTGATCCTGAGCACAATTTCAGGAAGGTCCATTAAATGGGTCTTTGGAGAGCACTTAGGATAAAAGGCTGGCAGCAGGGATTCACTAAGAGCAATGGTGCCAAGCTTGCCTCTTTGACATTGTTATCTGACTGATAAAGGTAGGCTATAGCGGTACACAATACAGATATTTCCAGGGTAAAGCTGTTGAGCTGCTGTAATTTTCCTTGCCTCTTCACTATCTTCTCCTATAGTTGACTCCCAAGGAAAAGATAGTTGACCTTTAATCTAGAAATGTATGTTAATTGGAAAAACAAACAAATGAAACCAAAAACTATCCCTTAGGCTTCTCTCTGCTCAGTTATTAGATCATATGAATGTGCCCTTAGGAAACACAGAAGGCCCACACTATTATAGAGACAAATTTCTTACATTCTCTGCTGTTTAATGCTCTTCAAAAGACTTACCATACTTCGCTAATTTGATTACCAACTACTTGAACACAGGGACCAATGTGCTTATTAAAAATTTTGCATATTATGAGGGCATTAACTTTTAAGTATTCGATTGTTAAGACAATGCATATTATTATAAACCATAGAAGGCACACTTATTACCTCCTTAAGAACCAGTCTCTATTTCTCTGGTTCATAGAACTCCAAGGTCATAAAGGGATTGGACATTTGTGTCTTCAATTGGCCCTCTTCAGCCCTAGGATAAATAGTGATTAATCTAAGCCAATGGTTTTCGGCTCTGTCTGACCCAATGCCTCTACTTCATAAGAAATTCTTCAAAGACCCCTTCACTATTCTAAACTATTAGTGAGAACACAATGTATGCATTCAAGTTGTTGAAAATATTAATGTTATGCTGAAGCTAACAAAGGAGAAATAATTTACTGTCAATATATGATCCAAAATGTATATAATTGTGCCAGAACATTTACATATCAAATAAAATAGAACATAATGAAATTTTCATATCTTCGCCCATACCTTGAAACATTGTAAATAAAAAGCTACAAATATAGTTTCATTGAATAACCAAATGCCAAAACTGCCATTTCTGTTTTTGACATGATTGATCTGCATTGGTAAATGTAATAGATACTTTCTGTTTGGCCCTTGTCCCCTGTTATACTCCCCTATTTACTGGCTTTTGTCCAAGTGGAATGGTCCATATTGAATATCTCAATCTGTTCCCTTGCTCATTGCCTTCTATGCATGTTCATGAGATTAAAGGGAAGGAGGAAATGGGATTGGGGGTTATTGCCTAAACTCCCTCTCTGCTAGGTCTCCTTGACCAATCTTTTTCATAAGAAAATTAGTGTTTCCTTGCATGATCAGGGAAGTTTACTCCCCAGAACTCTGCCTGCTGCTACTAACCCAGAGTTATTGTGGGGTGTGATTTCTGTGATTCCTTCACCCTTCTCCGCTGACATTTTCGTAAGTAGTCTCTTTGGAAATAAACCCATGTTAAATTATCTTAGTTTGTGTGTGTTCTATTTTTCCTATTGAGACTCTGAAATGAGTATCTAAATGAAAAAATCTACCATCTTTTCTCATATACATAGTAGTTTCATTCTTGCAAAATTCATGGCATATTAAAACCATGCAAAAGTACTTGGCACTTAGGCAGTTACATTTGGGATTGTATAATTAAACAAAGCAGGTTATTCACCTTCATTACATTAGAAAGTCATTCAGGACATACAGCAATCCTTAATTAGGAACGGCTATCCCATGTTACTGGACATATGGCATCCCTGTTTTCCAATCCTTAAAGTTTTTCCTTAAAGTTCCAAAATGCCGTCACTTATTATTTCCTGCCATTGGATTTTGTCACATGAAGTTGTAAGGCTGGGAATGCCATAGCCATCTTGAAAACATAGGTAGAAAGATAAGAGAATCACAAAGTGGATCATGTTGAATTAAGTAAGCATTGATACCATCTATTTGTTGTGCGATTTGGTAAAAGTTGCTCCTTGTTTTTTTCTTTAATTAGTTGACTATTCTGTTACTTGAAGCTGAAAACTTTTTTTCTTTTCTTTCCTTCTTTTTTTTTTTTTTTTTGACAGAATCTTACTCAGTTGCCCAGGCTGGAGTGCAGTGGCATGATCTTGGCTCACTGCAACCTCTGCTTGCCTAGTTCAAGCAATTCTCACACCTCAGCCTCCCTAGTAGCTGGGATTACAGGCACATGCCACCACACTCAGATGATTTTTGTATTTTTAGTAGAGATGGGGTTTCACCCTGTTTGCCAGGTTGGTCTCAAACTCCTGACCTCAAGCGATCTGCCCACCTCAGCCTACCAAAGTGCTGGGATTACAGGTGTAAGCCACTGACCCTGCCCAAAAACATTTTAACCAATAGCAAAGCACATTATTTCATTACATTTTTTCAAAAGTTGCCAGTAATTTCAATTAAAAATATATATAACATGTTTAATGCAATACAAATGCTTTTCAATGTACAATGGGGTTAAGTCTTGATAAGCTGATTATAAATTGAAAATACAGTAAGTTAAAAATGTATTTAATACCTAACTTACTGAATATCACAGCTTAGCCTGGCATACCTTTAATGTGCTCAGAACACTTACATCAGCTGACAATTGGGCAAAATCATTGAATACAAAACCCACTTTATAATAAAGTTTTGGATATTTTATGTAATTTGTTGAATATTGTACTGAAAGTGAAAAGCAGAATGGTTATATTCTATTCAAAGCTATCACTTTTGCTTCATCATAAAGTAAATAAATCATAAATTGAACCATTATAATTTGTTGACCATCTGTGTATATGTATGTGTGTGTGTACCTATATAAACATGTATGTTTATATATATATTTGTGTGTGTATATATCCTCGGTGTGTGGGTATGTATGTTTGAGAGTGTGTGTGTGTGTGTGTGTATGAAATTGTAGGAAAGTAAAATTTCTTATCTTATAGATATAGCATGTTAACATGTTGGTACCTATCTTCCTGAGATGTAAAATTTTACATGGATAGATGTGTACATTTACTGTTGTACACAAAGAGAAACATATTCTGTAGGCTCTTTGTTTTTCTGTAATTTCATTCAACACTATGTGGTTTATATGGATGATTACATATATAATGCTAGGATGAAGGTTCTTCTCTATAACTTTGAAACTTCCTTGATTATCAACCCTTGGTATATTCTTAGAATAGGATTTTATTTTAGAATTAAGATCCTTGTTTCAGGACTCTAGACTGTTAACACACAGAGTCAATAATTATTCAGAATGGTTGGGTTAGTTCACATTCCCACAGATGAGACATCAAATGTCCAGGCTGCACAGCCTCATTAACACTAGATTTTCTGGACATTTTATGTAGTATTTCATCTGATATAAAAAGTAGAATTCTAATTTAATTATGGTTGCTAATTTATTTTTATCTTTTTAGTCATTATGAAAATGTTTAACTATATGAAAAGCTAGGAAAGAGTTTTATTTTTTAAGGTAGTACTTCAGAAATATTTGTGATACTTAATTTTTAAAAATTAACTCTAAAAAATCTTGAAATGTCTGTTTAATGAAATAGGACATAAATGCTGGTCACATTAGTGAAAAATATTTGTTTAAAATTAAAATATCTGTATCAATCCTGTAGATATTAATAATTTTTAAAGAATGACATCTTTAAAATATAAATGTTCTAAACTTATAATCAGTTAAATATGTCTCTATTAATACATATAGATACATATACCTAAATAAATTTGAAGACTTCAAATTCCAGGTACAATATAATTCTTTTCTATCCTGTGATTTGTCATTCAGTATTTTGTAATTTGAACAGAAATATTTTGCCCTAACCACATGTCTGTATTTTCTCTTACCTAGAAATGTTATTTTATGCAAAATTGTTTTAAAGGTCAGTTTGCATGTTTGAAAACATCTTGTAGAATGTTACATAATATATTGCATATTTGGTTACATTGTTTTAACTGTGAAAATATGGTTTAAATCTATGATGCTCTTTAGTGCTGATCATGATGCAAAGCAAATTTATCTGTATAAAAGTCTCCTGTTAATTTTTTTTATTATTATATTTTAAGTTTTAGGGTACATGTGCACAATGTGCAGGTTTGTTAGATATGTATACATGGGCCATGTTGGTGTGCTGTACCCATTAACTCGTCATTTAACATTAGGTATATCTCCTAATGCTATCCTTCCCCCCTTCCCCCACCCCACAACTGTCCCCAGTGTGTGATGTTCCCCTTCCTGCATCCATGTTTTCTCATTGTTCAATTCCCACCTATGAGTGAGAACATGTGGTGTTTGGTTTTTTTCCTTGCAATAGTTTGCTGAGAATGATGGTTTCTAGCTTCATCCATGTCCCTACAAGGGACATGAACTCAACATTTTTTATGGCTGCATGGTATTCCATGTTTTATATGTGCCACGTTTTCTTAATCCAATGTATCATTGTTGGACATTTGTGTTGGCTCCAAGTCTTTGCTATTGTGAATAGTGCCACAATAAACATACATGTGCTTGTGTCTTTATAGCAGCATGATTTTAATCCTTTGGGTATATACCCAGCAATGGGATGGCTGGGTCAAATGGTATTTCTAGTTCTAGATCCCTGAGGAATCACCACACCGAGTTCCACAATGGTTGAACTAGTTTACAGTCCCACCAACAGTGTAAAAGTGTTCCTATTTCTCCACATCCTCTCCAGCACCTGTTGTTTCCTGACTTTTTAATGATGGCCATTCTAACTGGTGTGAGATGGTATCTCATTGTGGTTTTGATATGCATTTCTCTGATGGCCAGTGATGATGAGCATTTTTTCATGTGTCTTTTGGCTGCAAAATGTCTTCTTTTGAGAAGTGTCTGTTCATTTCCTTTGCCCACATTTTGATGGGGTTGTTTGTTTTTTTCTTGTGAATTTGTTTGAGTTCATTGTAGATTCTGGATATTAGCCCTTTGTCAGATAAGGAGGTCGCAAAACTTTTCTCCCATACTGTAGGTGGCCTGTTCACTCTGATGGTGGTTTCTTTTGCTGTGCAGAACCTCCTTAGTTTAATTAGATCCCATTTGTCAATTTTGGCTTTTGTTGCCATTGCTTTTGGTGTTTTAGACATGAAGTCTCTGCCCATGCCTATGTCCTGAATGGTATTGCCTGGTTTTTCTTCTAGGGTTTTTATGGTTTTAGGTCTAACAAGTAAGTCTTTAATCCATCGTGAATTAATTTCTGTATAAGGTGTAAGGAAGGGATCCAGTTTCAGCTTTCTACATATGGCTAGCCAGTTTTCCCAGCACCATTTATTAAATAGGGTATCCTTTCCCTAGTTCTTGTTTTTGTCAGGTTTGTCAAAGATCAGATAGTTGTAGATATGTGGCATTATTTTTGAGGGCTCTGTCCTGTTCCATTCGTCTATATCTCTGTTTTGGTACTAGTACTATGCTGTTTTGGTTACTGTAGCCTTGTAGTATAGTTTGAAGTCAGGTAGCATGATGCCTCCACCTTTGTTCTTTTGGCTTAGGATTGACTTGGCAATGTGGGCTCTTTTTGGTTCCATATGAACTTTAAAGTAGTTTTTTTCCAATTCTGTGAAGAAAGTCATTGGTAGCTTGATGGAGATGGAATTGAATCTATAAATTACCTTGGGCAGTATGGCCATTTTCACGATATTGATTCTTCCTACCCATGAGCATGGCATGTTCTTCCATTTGTTTGTATCCTTTTTTATTTCATTAAGCAGTTGTTTGTAGTTCTCCTTGAAGAGATCCTTCACTTCCCTTGTAAGTGGTATTCCTAGGTATTTTATTTTCTTTGAAGCAATTGTGAATGGGAGTTCACTCATGATTTGGCTCCCTGTTTGTCTGTTATTGGTGTATAAGAATGCTTGTGATTTTTGCACATTGATTTTGTATCCTGAGACATTGCTGAAGTTGCTTATTAGCTTAAGGAGATTTTGGGCTGAGACGATGGGGTTTTCCACATACACAGTCATGTCATCTGCAAACAGGGACAATTTGACTTCCTCTTTTCCTAATTGAATGCCCTTTATTTCCTTCTCCTTCCTGATTGCCCTGGCCAGAACTTCCAACACTATGTTGAATAGGAGTGGTGAGAGAGGGCATCCCTATCTTGTGCCAGTTTTCAAAGGGAATGCTTCCAGTTTTTGCCCATTCAGTATGATATTGGCTGTGGGTTTGTCATAGATAGCTCTTATTATTTTGAGATACATCCTATCAATCCCTAATTTATTGAGAGTTTTTAGCATGAAGGTTTGCTGAATTTTGTCAAAGGCCTTTTCTGCATCTATTGAGATAATCATGTGTTTTTTGTCTTTGGTCCTGTTTATACGCTGGATTACATTGACCGATTTTCATATGTTGAACCAGCCTTGCATCCCAGGGATGAAACCCGCTTGATCATGGTGGATAAGCTTTTTTATGTGTTGCTGGATTTGGTTTGCCAGTATTTTATTGAGGATTTTTGCATCAATGTTCATCAAGGATATTGGTTTAAAATTCTCCTTTTTTTGTTTTGTCTCTGCCAGGCTTTGGTATCAGGATGATGCTGGCCTCATAAAATGAGTTAGGGAGGATTCCTTCTTTTTCTATTGATTGGAATAGTTTCAGAAGGAATTGTACCAGTTCCTCCTTGTACCACTGGTAGAATTCGGCTTTGAATCCATCTGGTCCTGGACTTTTTTTGGTTGGTAAGCTATTAATTATTGCCTCAATTTCAGAGAGTGTTATTTGTCTATTCAGAGGTTCAACTTCTTCCTGGTTTAGTCTTGGGAGAGTATATGTGTCAAGGAATTTATCCATTTCTTCTAGATTTTCTAGTTTATTTGTGTAGAGGTGTTAATAGTATTCTCTGATTGTAGTTTGTATTTCTGTGGAATTGGTGGTGATATCCCCTTTGTCAATTTTTATTGCATCTATTTGATTCTTCTCTCTTTTCTTCTTTATTGGTCTTGCTAGTGGTCTGTCAATTTTGTTGATCTTTTCAAAAAACAGCTTCTGTATTCATTGATTTTTTGAAGGGTTTTTTGTGTCTCTATTTCCTTCAGTTCTGCTCTGATCTTAGTTACTTCTTGCCTTCTGCTAGCTTTTGAATGTGTTTGCTCTTGCTTCTCTAGTTCTTTTTATTGTGATGTTAAGATGTCAATTTTATTTCTTTCCTGCTTTCTCTTGTGGGCATTTAGTGCTGTAAATTTCCCTCTTCACACTGCTTTGAATGTGTCCCAGAGGTTCCGGTATGTTGTGTCTTTGTTCTTGTTGGTTTCAAAGAACATCTTTATTTCTGCCTTCATTTCCTTATGTACCCAGTAGTCATTCAGGAGCAGGTTGTTCAGTTTCCATGTAGTTGAGTGGTTTCGAGTGAGTTTCTTAATCCTGAGTTGTAGTTTGATTGCACTGTGGTCTGAGAGACAGTTTATTATACTTTCTGTTCTTTTACATTTGCTGAGGAGTGCTTTACTTCCAAGTATGTGGTCAATTTTGGAATAGGTGTGGTGTGGTGCTGAAAAGAATACATATTCCATTGATTTGGGATAGAGAGTTCTGTAGATGTCTATTAGGCCTGCTTGGTGCAGAGCTGAGTTCAATTCCTGTATATCCTTGTTAACTTTCTGTCTCGTTGATCTGTCTAATGTTGACAGTGGGGTGTTAAAGTCTCCCATTATTATTTTGTGGGCGTCTAAGTCACTTTGGAGATCACTAAGGACTTGCTTTATGAATCTGGGTGCTTCTGTATTGTGTGCATATATATTTAGGATAGTTAGTTCTTGTTGAATTGATCCCTTTACCATTATGTAATGGCCTTCTTTGTCTCTTTTGATCTTTGGTGGTTTAAAGTCTGTTTTATCAGAGACTAGGATTGCAACCCCTGCCTTTTTTTGTTTTCCATTTGCTTGGTAGATCTTCCTCCATCCCTTTATTTTGAGCCTATGTGTGTCTCTGCAGGTGAGAAGGGTTTCCTGAATACAGCACACTGATGGGTCTTGACTCTTTATCCAATTTGCCAGTCTGTGCCTTTTAATTGGAGCATTTAACCCATTTACATTTAAGCTTAGTATTGTTATGTGTGAATTTGATCCTGTCATTATGATGTTAGCTGGTTATTTTCCTCGTTAGTTGATGCAGTTTCTTCCTAGCCTTGATGGTCTTTACAATTTGGCATGTTTTTGCAGTGGCTGGTACCAGTTGTTCCTTTCCATGTTTAGTGCTTCCTTCAGGAGCTCTTTTAGGGCAGGCCTGGTGGTGACAAAATCTCTCAGCATTTGCTTGTCTGTGGAGTATATTATTTCTCCTTCACTTATGAAGCCTAGTTTAGCTGAATATGAAATTCTGGGTTGAAAATTCTTTTCTTTAAGAATGTTGAATATTGGCCCCCACTCTCTTCTGGCTTGTAGAGTTTCTGAGGAGAGATCAGCAGATTGTCTGATGGGCTTCCTTTTGTGGGTAACCTGACCTTTCTCTTGGCAGCCTTTAAAATTTTTTCATTCATTTCAACTTTGGTGAATCTGACAATTATGTGTCTTGGAGTTGTTCTTCTCGAGGAGTATCTTTGTGGCATTCTCTGTATTTCCTGAATTTGTATGTTGGCCTGCCTTACTAGATTGGGGAAGTTCTCCTGGATAATATCCTGCAGAGTGTTTTCCAACTTGGTTCCATTCTCCCCGTCACTTTCAGGTACACCAATTAGACATACATTTGGTCTTTTCACATAGTCCCATATTTCTTGGAGGCTTTGTTCATTTCTTCTATTCCTTTTCCTCTAAACTTCTCTTCATGCTTTATTTCATTCATTTCGTTTTCCATCGCTGATACTCTTTCTTCCAGTTGATCACATCGGTTACTGAGGCTTATGCATTTGTCATGTAGTTCTTGTGCCATGGTTTTCAGCTCCATCAGGTCCTTTAAGGACTTCTCTGCATTTGTTATTCTAGTTATCCATTCGTCTAATTTTTTTTCAAAGTTTTTAACTTCTTTGCCACTGGTTCGAACTTCCTCCTTTAGCTCGGAGTACTTTGATCTTCTGAAGCCTTTCTCTCTCAACTCGTCAAAGTCATACTCCGTCCAGCTTTGTTCCATTGCTGGTGAGGAGCTGCATTCCTTTGCAGGAGGAGAGGCACTCTGATTTTTAGAGTTTCCAGGTTTTCTACTCTGTTTTTTCCCATCTTTGTGGTTTTATCTTCCTTTGGTCCTTGATGATGGTGACATACAGATGGGGTTTTGGTGTGGATGTCCTTTCTGTTTGTTAGTTTTCCTTCTAACAGTCAGGGCCCTCAGCTGCAGGTCTGTTGGAGTTTACTGGAGGTCTACTCCAGACACTATTTGCCTGGGTATCAGCAGCGGTGGCTGCAGAACAGTGGATATTGGTGAACTGCAAATGCTGCTGCCTGATCGTTCCTCTGAAAGTTTTGACTCAGAGGGGTACCCGGGCATGTGAGATGTCAGTCTGCCTCTACTGGGGGGTGCCTCCCAGTTAGGCTACTCAGGGGTCAGGAACCCACTTGAGGAGGCTGTCTGCCCGTTCTCAGATCTCAAGCTGCATGCTGGGAGAACCACTACTCTCTTCAAAGCTGTCAGACAGGGATATTTAAGTCTGCAGAGGGTATTGCTGTCTTTTGTTTGTCTGTGTCCTGCCCCCAGAGGTGGAGCCTACAGAGGCAGGCTGGCCTCCTTGAGCTGTGTTAGGCTCCACCCAGTTCGAACTTCCTGGCTGCTTTGTTTACTTACTCAAGCCTGAGCAATGGCGGGCGCCCCTCCCCCAGCCCCACTGTAACCTTGCAGTTTGATCTCAGACTGCTGTGCTAGCAAACAGCGAGGCTCCGTGGGTGTAGGATCCTCCAAGCCAGGTGCTGGATACAATCTCCTGGTGTGCCATTTGATAAGCCTGTTGGAAAAGCGCAGTATTAGGGTGGGAGTGACCTGATTTTCCAGGTGCCATCTGTCACCCCTTTCTTTGACTAGGAAAGGGAATTCTCTGACCCATTCTGCTTCCCAGGTGAGGTGATGCCTTTCCCTGCTTTGGCTCATGCATGGTGCGCTGCACCCACTGTCCAGCACTCCCCAGTGAGATGAACCTGGTACCTCAGTTGGAAATGCAGATATCACCTGTCTTCTGCATCACTCACGCTGGCAGCTGTAGACTGGAGCTGTTCCTATTCGGCCATGTTGCCTCCATCCTCTAATTTTTAACTTTCAACTGATTAGATACATTTACCCTCTTCTGAATTTTAATTCCTGATGAAAAGATTGTGAAATCTCAAGAGGATAATGAATCAGCTTCTGATTATATTCTGGAATTACGATTTGATCACCCATCCAAGAATGCGTATTCACTTTCCTTTACATTACACACATGCATAATACCATGCTGAGTGATGCTGGAAAAAGTGAGTCTTCAGTAATGCCCTCATGAAATTACAGTCTCACTACACCGAGGTATTTTCTTTTTAACACATTTTTCTTTTCTGCTGTGAATATGTGCCTTCTAAGAGGTGAACAACTGGGAAAAACTGAAAAAGAACCTTCATCTAATTCAGTAACTAGCTTTTGTATCTTCTAAGAATTTTTATCTCCAGAAAGCTCTAATCTTCATTCCTTTACAAGCTTTATTTCTCTCTCCTTTCCAACACCAGACTTTTCTCTGTTTGTTTTCTATAACTTTTTTAGAGATGCCTACAATAGAAAAACACTATGACATATTCAATACATCTGAAAAGTTTGCATTGCCATAGATAAGAATAAATTATCTGTTTATAAAGAAAAAAACAATAAAAATATGAACCAAGAAAGCACAGAAGGTAGTAACCACATTTACATGTTTATCATGGAATCATCTTTATAATCCATCTGTTACAATTCCACAGAGCAAATTACAAGTAATTGTGAAGTTTCCCCTCATTTTATAGGTTTGGTCTTATAAGGCATACAACACAAATTTTAATTACTTTTCTTTTTGGTATTTGGATCTTAATTTGGTGAAGTGGCCACTGGGTAGATGATGGAGCCTCTTGAGACATACAGTCTTCTTCTAGCTTTGTTGATGTAAATATTACTGTGTAGTTTTCATTCACTTATTATTTTACAAGGCATGCTTCATTAAAAACATGTCAGCATCTCATTGACAAATCACAAAATTTAAAAGGCACAAGAAAAAAACAATTTATTTGAAACATTCCTGTGTAAAAGTAGTCACCACTCTTACTATTCTTCAAATATTTTTATTATATTTAAACACAAGCCTAGTTTTATCTTGAGTGTCTCACCTTGATGATATTGTACACTTTAAACTTAGAAAAACTTGAACTCTATTGGAAATTTCCTACAGATCAGCTTTTCTAGATGCCAAGCGCCTTGTTTCAGCTGTGGTGATGACAGCAAATTGGGTTCTCAGGGATTCTGGCCTCTGGCATCATCTCAGTTGTTTATAATTGAAGTTGGCTCTGATGAGAACTCAGCTTAGATGCATGGTTGGACTGCTGGGCTTAAGGCTGGCCTGCCAGCAGGTTGCATTGAGGTGTAACTAGGCAAAGAAAGAAGGAGTTTATTGAGGCACTACTGACAATAGCAAAGACTTGGAACCAACCCAAATGTCCAACAATGATAGACTGGATTAAGAAAATGTGGCACATATACACCATGGAATACTATGCAGCCATAAAAATGATGAGTTCATGTCCTTTGTAGGGACAAGGATGAAGCTGGAAACCATCATTCTCAGCAAACTATCACAAGGACAAAAAAACAAACACCACATGTTCTCACTCATAGGTGGGAATTAAACAATGAGTACACATGGACACAGAAAGGGGAACATCACACACCGGGACCTGTTGTGGGGTGACGGGCTAGGGGAGGAAAAGCATTAGGGGATATACCTAATGTAAATGACGAGTTAATGGGTGCAACACACCAACATGTCACATGTATACATATGTAATGAACCTGCACGTTGTGCACATGTACCCTAGAACTTAAAGTAGAATAAAAAGAAAAGAAGAAGGTTGGGCAAAATTACCAACAATCTTCAACTATGAATTTTTATGAGTAGGGGCTTCCCACACCATCAGGCACTCCAAGTTGGAGAAACAAGGGATGTTGAATTGAAAGTTTAATTTTTTAGGGTTGATAGTCAGATTAGGGAAGTTTTGGGTACACCTTTCCCACTCTAGAGCCCTCTCCCTAACTCACGGCCAATTTGGGACATGGGCTCAATGGAAAAGAGTGCCGAGATCAATTAGAAATATCCTTCATGAACATAGGAGGCAGGCATTCTGGCCAAGGGGTGCGTCTTCCCACTTTGTAATCCAGAGTGCGATTTCTTCTTGCTATCTGTCCCTCCGTAAATAAGCATTGGGTGAAGGACAAGGTAGTTACAACTGAGGATGGAATGAGATTCTAGCAGAATTGCAAAATGAACTGAGAGCCACGAAAGTGTTCCTCTGTGAACCAGCAGAGAGATCTGTGGAAGGCAAAGGAAGAGGAGCCAAGAGGTCAGATAACATTCCTGCTTCCCCTACATTGTGAGAGTGAAATTATCAGCAACGTATATCAGTAACTAACCAGAGGCTTTTTGGAGAGTAAGACTTCTGATAGATACCTCAATAGCTGAAGTTACTCTTCAGTACTGCACATAACCTGTGGACAGATTTTCATCATTATTAATTCATTTATTCAACAGATAGATATTAAATTCAAGGCATAGTTCTAAACTATGCAGTCAATTACAAAAAAATAATGAAGGGCATTAGCTGTGCCTCATAGGACGTTAAAACTCTAGGTGCTGAATGAGACAAATAGGGTTCCCACATCAAGTGCCTGGGCTCCTGTTATAACCTGGACTGTGCTTCCAATGACTTCTCTTGTTTCTGTTTTGGTAAACCCATCATTTGGCTTAGTCCCTATCCTTGCCATGCTCACCCACCAGTAGGTGGACCTCCTTGACCATAACTACAGGTATAGATCTTTGAGTTTCTTTTCAAATGTTTGCTTACTTTAGAGCTGCAGTCAAATGTTGTTTGGACCATAAGACTCTGAGGATGTGTGTGGTTGAAACTGTCTTGAGACTCAAAGAGCTATTGAGGAAGGGATTTGGTAGCTGAACTTTTTTGAAGTTTTTCTCTGTCTCTCACAATCTGGGTCTGAATAGCTTAATATATTGTTTAATTTCTACATCAATGATAGTTTAATAGGCATTCATGAAAATCAGTTCTGCTGGGAGTTTATTATCCTACTCCAATAGCAAGTAACGCATTCCTTAAATTTAATGTATGTATAAATTCTACATGGTAAGTGAAGCTGTCTTTATGAATTGCTGCTATAGAATATACTAGATTGTGTAGGTTTTAGTACAATCCAGGTAATTATCAAGCCTTTGTAATATTTTCAGGAAAGTGATCCTTTCACTTCAGTTTATGGAACTTGGAAAGTTTTCGGTTGCCACCCACTTGTTAGATCATAAACTTAATTATATTTGTCTGAATTTATTTTTCTATTTATAAATTTATCTGGATGTTTTCTCAAAGGTTTCCCAGATTAAAAACCTATGGCTTTGTAAAATTAAAACAGAAGTAATAAGAATTGTGTTAAAAAACAGAATCAGGCCAAGCATGGTGGCTTATGCCTGTAATGCCAACACTTAGGGAGGCCGAGGCGGGAGGATCATTTGAGGTCAGGAGTTCAAGACCAGCCTGGGCAACATGGCAAAACGCCACCTGTATTAAAAAAAATACACAAATTAGCTGGCGTGGTGGTGAATGCCTTTATTCCTAGCTACTCAGGAGGCTAAGGCAGGAGAATAGCTTGAACCCAGGAGGCTGAGGTTGCAGTGAGTCAAGATAGAGCCACTGCATTCCAGCCTGGGTGAGAGAGTGAGATCCTGTATTAAAAAAAAAAAGAACAAAAGAAAAGAAAAATAAAGAAAACTAGAATCATACAATGAGAGAGATTGTATAGCCCTTTTAATTGTCCATAATGGATACATTTCTTTTTCTGTGTAATAGTTTATCAGCATGAAAATTTTCTTTTTCTTCGTAATAGTTTATCAGCATGAAAAACAAAGAGTCACTGAACACTGATAATTTTTTTTCTCTCTCTCTCTCATTTTTTCCTTTTTTTGGAGATGAAGTCTCACTCTGTTGCCCAGGCTGGAGTGCAATGGCAACATCTCTGTTCACTGCAACCTTCACATCCTGGGTTCAGGCGATTTTCCTGCCTCAGCCTCCCAAGTAGCTGGGATTCCAGGTGCATCCCGCCATGCCTGGATAAGTTTTTGTATTTTCAGTAGAGACGGGGTTTCATCATGTTGGCCAGGCTGGTCTCAAACTCCTGACCTCAAATGATCTGCCCGCCTTAGCCTCCCAAATTGCTGGTGATGATTTTCATTTAATGGTGTTCTACAAAGTGAGTTTAGGCAATGAAAGCACACATGTCATCTATAGTTTACCAGAAAGTAGTACCGGTCACCAGCATTGAAGCATACTCCTAACACTGGAAAATTTCTTCAGCAGCTAGAATTAATCTCAGATTTCGAGACTGGAGCAAAGACAAATTTGGTATGTGTTCATTCAGATTAGTAAATCTCCATGGTGTTTGAACTGTATATTATCAAATCTAAAATAAGTCAAAAGAGTTGAACAATATCTCATCTCTGAGAAAAAAATGCATTATTTTCAACAGATTTAAGACTGAATTTAAAATCCAACTGCCTATTCCAGTGTATGTTTCTCTAGAATAAGGCCAAGCCCTACAAATTCTGGATAGTGTCTTCCAAGTTGTATTTAAGTGATAATTGATAAATCTATGGTTTAGATACATATGGAATTCCATATAACTCTAGCTCCAGCCTTTGTGAGTAAAAATTGGCAGTGATCATGGCCTTAATGGGGGCATGTGGTTAATTGGAATTTTCAGTACCAAAAGTCGTCTTCTTACTAGTTTATCAGGGTACCCTATAATAGTATCCATAACTCATTGCCCACTTGTCTGTTTTGATTTCTTTTTTAAAAAGACAATTTTAAACTTAGAGGATTTGTACCTCAAGTCACATATGTGGCACATTTATAAAATAATCATGCCTTTGCATATTTTTCCTTTGATAACTTAGCTATATATCCAAGCCATTTATGTTTTTTAATTGCCACAAATATTGCACTGAAATAGAGCACTAGTTGCAAAAATGCCTGGTGTAACATTTCTTCTTGTTCTTGAAAGTTATTTTAATACCCCATGTTTAAGATATTCCTAGACAACTATATGTAACTATAATTATTTCTGCTAGGTAGAAACATCTTTGTGGTCAACATTTGTGAAGTGCCTTGTAAATAAAAATATGCTTGAGTTGAAATAGTATTTTGCAAATATAGCCCTAAATAGAGCTACTGATTTTTACCAAGAATTAAAGACTCCAAACTCTGTCTTTGTCTTTCAAATTAGGTTTATAGGAACATCTCATTACAATGAGCCAAAAGCCTATCTGATC
>NC_000022.11:12776204-12818137 GCF_000001405.40 Homo sapiens | reverse complement strand
GATCTTGCATTTAGAAAATCGTAAGAAATTTACTAAAAAGTATTAGGACTCATGAACAAATTTAAGAATGTAACACTGTATAAGATTGGTATACAAAAATAACTGTATTTCTTTAGCAAGAAATCAAGAATCCAAAAATGGAATTACAAAAATAAATCTTGTTACAATAGAATTAAAGCTGGGGAAGCTTAAACTTGAACACTAAAAACTACAATACATGGTTAGCGTTGGAAACACCCAGATACCATCCCTGAGCCTTCTCTCCTTGGCTCTGAGGGCTTTACCTTCACGGGGTGAGGAAAGGGGTTGCATTCTTGGCTTTTACATTATATTAGGTGGGTTCGGGTTGAGGTATCTGCAATTCAATGAGTATTACAATCTCTACTTTTATGGATAAGAGACTGAGGCCCACCAAGAGAGGGAATGACAGTCCATATCCTGGAAGGCGAATTGTCAGGCACTGATTTCCGCTATTTAACCCCTGCCAATCATCAAGTATTTAAAGGATCCCCAGATACCATACCAATAGGTGTTCAAGAGAGAGGCCTGTAATCTAGGCGTCTGAGAAAACAAGGCTATAGATTCCAATATTAGAGACAACAGGGCTCTGGGAAGATTAAGGTTGAGTTTTCTGGATCTGCAGAATAGAGTCACTGAGGACCAATTGCAAGATCAGAGGAGATGAAAGAACAAGTCAGGGCATGCTTAGGAAAAGAGAATACCAGGGATAGGTTTTAGGCAGGAGTCACACTGAGGAAGGACAGGTTCTTGGCGTCGCTCAGGAATAAATCCAAAAGCAAGCCTGTGGTGGAAGAAAGCAGCTCTACGGAGGCATTGGCGGTGTTACAACCCTGCATCCACTCCAGCAGGGCAGGGAGCCCTCCGTGGGTTGTGCTCCCAGAGCAGCAGCCTAGGGGTGGCTTGTAGTCACTTTTATAATTCACTTTTAATGGCATGCTAATTAAGGGGCGGGTTATTCAGAAATAGCTAGAAATGGGCAGTAACTTCCATCTGTTTCCATGGCAAGGGGTGGGGACTTCTCGTGATGACATGGCATTGGCAAACTGTCATGGCACTGGAGGGAGCGTCTTCTGGTGATCTGAGTTGTGAGGTGCTTTCGCTGCCTCTCCCAGTTTCCTGCGTGCCTCTTACCTGAAAGCCTATCAACACCCCCATCTGCCCACCTACAAACGTCACTGCCCTTTCACCCCACCCCCGTTTCACACGCACTCCCACATCAACCCTGAGCTTTCAAGCCTGCGTTTCCCTGTTAGGAACATCGGTGGTAGCCAGAGCTCTGAGAAACCCCTATGCAGAACTCCTTGCCTAGTTTGTGGCAGAAATCAGGGAAGGAAAGGCAAATTTCAGGTCTTTCTCACAATAAATAAATAAAGATAGGTAGATTTGATTGATTGATGGATGGATGAAACGTGGGAGTCTACGGGCAAATATTTATCAGACACTGGAAGTGAAAGTTGTCACAAAGATTATGGAGTGCACCTGTCTTATGACCCTGTTATTTTATCCTAGTATATGCACTAGAGCATATTTTCTAACTGTGTAAATTGAAGGCTCACAAATTAGTTTAGTGAGAGAAAAGATAACAGATTGGAAGAGAATTACCATATTCATTAGTTGTGTTTTTAAAATTTTAAAGTAAAATAGAGACATGATTTTTTTCATGCTTTTGAATGCATCTATAAAAAATAGACTTGAGGGCTGGGCGCAGTGGCTCACGCTTGTAATCCCAGCACCTTGGGAGGCCGAGGAGGGCGGATCACGAGGTCAGGAGTTGGAGACCAGCCTGACCAACATGGTGAAAACCCGTCTGTACTAAAAATACAAAAATTAGGCGAGTGTGGTGGCGCGCGCCTGTAATCCCAGGTACTTAGGAGGCTGAGGCAGGAGAATCACTTGAACCCGGGAAGCGGAGGTTGCAGTGAGCCAAGATCGCACCATTGCATTCCAGCCTGGGTGACAGAGTGAGACTCCGTCTCAAAAAAAAAAAAAAAAGTTACTGATTAATAGCATAGACCAATTGGCCTCTATTGAAATTTCTCCATTATTTTCACAATGTCCCAGGCTGTGAAACCAGTATTTAATAAAGAACCAGAATGCCACATCTGTGTCACCTGGGTAGGGACCAGTCCTGATACATTAAGTCCGGGTCTCTGGGTAACTGGACTCAACTGCTGGGCAAAACAGAATGTCCGGCATGGGTTCCTAAAGGGGGACCGCAAAGCTTCATGGGAATTGTAGTGTCACCTTCCAATGACGTTACCATCAAGGACTTTGGGAACCAGCTTTTCTCTCTGCGCATGCGCCACCCGGCCCACTCCGCCATTTTCCTCTGGAAGTGTGGCACCCAGAGGCGGTCCTGTAGCTGGGCCGGCTTGGGGCTTGGTTCTATGTCCCTGTGGGTCGGTGCAAGGGCCAGGAGGAACCCGTGAGCCTCAGGGGATCCCAGGGGGCCGGACCAGTGTTCCCTAGTTGTGGGAGCAGACGCGTGGGCGCATCGAGGGAGGGCAGGGCCTGAAGAGCAGGAGCGGGCTGCCGACCCTGGCGGGGGCTGGGAGGACAGGCGTGGGGGCCCAGCAGTGACGCGGGTTCTAGAGACACAGGAGCGGGTAGGAGAGGCCGGTGGCCCTGGGCCCGGAGTCTGCAGGCCGTGCTCCTGTCCTGCCGCTGAGGGACACGGTTACCAACCCGCATGATGCTCAGTTTGCCCATCTGTCCCAGTGCTAACACACAGTTCTCGGGAGACGTTCCCCATTCCCAGAGGAGTAGTGTGAAATGCGTGCGCCGCTAGTCTTAAACTTGACGTTTGTATTAGTTGGGTTTCCTGGTGTCTCTTTAGCAAGTGAAGTTTCTGGTTCCCTCCTTCACTGTGTGACCTGCCTAGTCCTCCTGGGTCGCATTTACAGAAGTTTATACGAGACCTAGTTTCCAGGGAAGAACTCACTGATTCCGCGAGGGAGATGGCGTAATAGATGATGGTCGTCAGCCTTAAGGGTACTTCAGTCTTAACTGTGTGTTAGAAAGTTTGAAAGGGAGGGTTCCCTATGAATAAGAAGCACACTTGAAAGAACAGCCGTCTGGTCTAACCTCTCACTGGTGCTTCAGAGGAGGAAAAAAGGTCACAGGTGAAGATCCCAGTTTTCCTTGCTCAGGAAATATTAATTCTACTCCCTAGAATGCACAAGATTTGCAAAGACTAGGTGATAGTAGAAGGTTTGGACGAACTTTCAGAAGGTTGAGGTGAATTCAGCTGAGAAAAACAGGCAAGGACTTAGGAAATATTCCTTATTTGAAGGGGCCTGAAAGTGTGGTCTGGGGTACAGGAGTGACCTGTCATACTTGAGAGGATTAAAATACTCTCCAAACACAGTCCCATTCCTTCAATCTTAGCTCGTTTTTTCGCGTCTGAGATATATTAAACCTAGTCCATCACCAAATTTAGCATTAGATTGCGAAGTTCTATTGATTGTATTTGATTTGTAATTTAAGATTTTCTCCCCCTACATAATTTTGTTAAAAACACAGAAGTGAATTCTGTTCACTTAGGTGTAACAGTTAATACTTGCTGTTTAAGGAACTAATTAAACCTTACTGGCTTATAAAAAACAACCACCATTTTATTTGTTTGAAGTTCTGTGGATCTGCATTTTGGTGTGGTGGATTCACCTGGGTAGTTGATATATTTGTGTTGCCTGGATCACAAAAAGGCCTTAGTCACCTGGTGCCTTGACTGAGCCTGGTTGGTTTAAGATAGTTTCCTTCACAATCTGGTGGTTTGTGGTGACTCTTGTCTAGGCCCTGTGTCTCCAACAGGGTAGCTCCAGACCTCTTCACAATTTCTCCCAAAAAAGGAAGAACCAATGGATATTTGCATCACATTTTCCATTGTCCATTCACTGGACAAGTCAGATGGAAAAGCCCAATTTATTGTCAGAGCATAATATGAGGGCTTGGATAGAAGGAAAGGTGTTATTGGGAAACATGAGTAGAATGGTGTAGTGTAGGCAATACGCATTATGTACATTTTAAAAAGCGTAATTGTAGGCCAAAATTGCTGGTTTGCTAGATGCACTTTCCATGATGTTCAGGTGTAGAAAATCAAGAGGTACTGTCACGGGAACACTCATATGAAGTTATTTGTGAAATCTACATATTAATAGGAAAATAGTTAATACAGCCCAGTATATTTCTATAACATTTATTTTAGTGAACTTATGTTTCTTTGTATTAAATTATTAGATTATATCTTTAGATAATATTGTTACTAAATTAGTAGGTAATACATATATTTATTCAAAAATAAATTGTGCATCTAATGTCTACCAATTAATGTACTTGTCTATGTATCTTATCTTAACTTGAGCCTCTGCTGCCCCTAATGAGGCGTGAAGAACTCTTCTCCCCTGGAGAAGTTTTTCTTTTTCAGGAGGGAGGAGGGCTTTCCGGGTAATGTGTCTAGAGCGTTGGGCAGAAGAATCTGGGACCACACCACACCAGTTCTCTCCTTAATCCACGTCATTTGCCTTCTATCCCAGCTATGTTTCCAGTGTCCTCTGGGTGTTTCCAAGAGCAACAAGAAACGAATAAATCTCTGGTGAGTTGCTTCCTTGTTCTTCACTTTGTTTTACACTGTATTTTCTGAGTTTATGGGTGTCTGTGAATTAAAAAGGAAAAGCAGAAATAAGTAAAACTCAGGTTGAAGGAAATATACATAAATAAGATAAAGCTGACCTGTAGATATAGGCAGGTTATAAGAGCTTAGAGTAGTCTAAGTTGGGTGCAAATTTTCCTCTGATCTTTCTGATGCTGAGACAAAAAAGGCAGTCATATTTGTTACGTAATTGGAATGGAACCCGAGAAGAGAGCATGCTGTGTTCTTGTGGGACAGGAAAGATTGTGTGCACCAAGTCCGAACCACCACCTTCACTGGTGACATAGATTATGTGCTGGAACATATTTCACACCGGCCTGGCAGTAACCACTTGTAGTGTTGTACAGTGGAAACGGTCATCTTCCGCTAAAGCACGGCGTGTTGTGCAGTGGAAATGGTCATCTGCCGCTAAAGCACAGCTTCCATCGTAAGGTGTGCTCATTGCTCAAAGAGTGTGGTCCCAAACAGCTTTTGGGAGGTCCTCCTTGATTCATGGATGAAACCCAGAACATCTTGACGACTGAGTTAACCATAGGCCCTTAAATAACTCTCCAGACATTTTTCTTAGTTTATCTCTACATGCAGGGTGTGCAGCAGCCTGTTCAAAGTCATATTTTCTGGGAAATATTTCCAGTGTTTATTTGCACTTTAGCCCACTCTGTGTAGTCTTAACTTATTTCTTCTAAGCTCACCATTAACCTAATTAATAGTCAAATTTAGGGGGACTGTATTTGACTTACTCAAGTCTTCTACCATAGTTGAAACTGTCGTACCCGAGTGAGTTAGAGATAAACGCCACACTTTGAGACGAATTCAGGGGTCCTTTATTAGCTGGTGACTGAGAGACGGCTAATGCACGAAATTCTCTCGGCCCCGAAGAAGGGACTAGATTTTCTTTTATACTTTGGTTTAGAGAGGGGAGGGGGGATTCTAGCTGCAGCAACTTTACAGAAGAAAAAAACAGACAAAAAAGTTAAAAAGACAGATGGTTACAGGAAAACAAACTGTTCCAGGTGCAGGGGCTTTAAATTCACCACAAAGTGATAGGTGAGGGGGCTCTGGGCATTATCTGCCAGACAAATGTGGGGCTTTATGATACTATCTCTGAATAAATTGCTGGGAACTGCAGACATCGCTTGTCTAAGCACTTTATCAGTTAATTGCACTCTTTGATATGTTGAAAGTCAACTTGCACAAGTTAAAGTCCTTGAGGAAAGGGGGTGGGTAGGGAGCCCTTGATGTCTTGTAAATGAAGGAGCCAAATGGAGTTTGTCTGGTTTTCTCAGCTAAGGGAGAGTCTATTCATATTAAAAACAAGGTTAGCTATCTAAGGGAGAGTCTATTCATGTTACAACGTTGGGTATTACAAAACATCTGTTCATGATCTGGAAATTCTTCTGTGTTAGTTCTGTTAAAAGAAAAACTTTAAAGGAGTTTAATAGAGCAATAAACGATTCACGAATCAGACAGTACCCAGAATCACATCAGATTCACAGAGACTCCAGCGCATTCATGTGGTGGAAGAAGATTTATAGACAAAAGGGAAATGGCATACCGAAATCGGAAGTGAGGTACAGAAACAACTCAGTGTTTGCCTTGTTTGAACACAGTTTGAACATTTGCCAGTGCCTGAGTGGTTGAAGTTTGGCCATTGGGATTGGCCAAGATGTAGCTGTTGTTCAAGGTGCATACTCTTAAGTTAGTTTTTCATTCTTCTATACCTATTAAGGTAGGTTACAGTTCATCCACAATGACTCATATATAGAATTATGGAGTCCTTCTCAGGCCATACTTAGTTCACTTTAACAATGCCTTCCCTTTGGTTATTTTCTCAATTTTGAGAGATTGGCCAAAACTTCAGTCACTGGTGTCACTATTACCATTGCAAATGTACTTACTTGGTTTAGAAACCCACTGGGAAATAGACCAGTGAGATTTGAAAAGGTGGAACAAGGACTTGAGTAGAAGGTATCTTCTTATGCTGGAACATCCTGTTTACAGGAGAAAAACAAAACCTGGTTTGTTCTAGGATTTATGTGTTTCTTTAAAGTCTTAGTTTCATTATGTTACATTTAGCATGAGTGACTCCATTTTGGTTTGGTTTGGTCTGTTGGGACCTATTGCATGAGTTTAGTTCAAAACAATGACCTCCCATAATTTTGCTTAAAAAATTCCTCCTTTTGGCTGGGCGTGGTGGCTCACACATGTAATCCCAGCACTTTGGGAGGCTGAGTTGGGCAGATCACGAGGTCAGGAGATTGAGACCATCCTTGCTAATATGGTGAAACCCCATCTCTACTAAAAATACAAAAAATTAGCCAAGCATAGTGGTGGGTTCCTGTAGTCCCAGCTACTCAGGAGGCTGAGGTAGGAGAATGGCCTGAACCTGGGAGGCAGAGCTTGCAGTGAGCCAAGATTGTGCCACTGCACTCCACTCTGGGGGACAGACCAAGACTCTGTCTTAGAAAAAAAAGTCCTCCTTTTCAG
The DNA here is from genome assembly GCF_000001405.40 of Homo sapiens. Classification (NCBI taxonomy): domain Eukaryota; kingdom Metazoa; phylum Chordata; class Mammalia; order Primates; family Hominidae; genus Homo; species Homo sapiens. The sequence goes on along the minus strand of NC_000022.11, from coordinate 12,810,981 downwards.
TCAAGTTCTCACTTAGTTGAGAGTGTGACCAAAATGTAGGGCCTTAGCATCACTCTTACCATTGTTTTGGGTTCCAGTTTTAGCACGTCACTCCCATTGTTTGGGGTTCGGGTTTAGCACGTCACTCCCATTGTTTTGGGTTTCTGGTTTAGCAGGACGCTCCCATTGTTTCGGGTTTCTGGTTTTAGCACGTCACTCCCATTGTTTTGGGTTTCTGGTTTAGCAGGTCACTCCCATTGTTTTCAGTTTCTGATTTAGCAGGATGCTCCCATTGTTTTGGGTTTCTGGTTTAGCAGGTCACTCCCATTGTTTTGGGTTCCGGTTTTAGCACATCACTCCCATTGTTTTCATTTCCGGTTTTAGCACATCACTCCCATTGTTTTGGGTTCCAGTTTTAGCAAGTCACTCCCATTGTTTTGGGTTCTGATTTTAGTGCACATCACCCCCATTGTTTTGGGTTCCAGTTTTAGTATATCACTCTCATTGTTTTGGGTTTCTGGTTTAGCACGTCACTCCCATTGTTTTGGGTTTCTGGTTTTGCAGGTCACTCCCATTGTTTTGGGTTCTGGTTTAAGCACATCACTCCCATTGTTTTCATTTCCTCTTTTGGCACGTCACTCCCATTGTTTTGGGTTCCAGTTTTAGCAAGTCACTCCCATTGTTTTGGGTTTCTTGTTTAGCACGTCACTCCCATTGTTTTGGGTTCTGATTTTAGTGCACGTCACTCCCATTGTTTTGGGTTCCCGTTTTAGTACATCACTCCCATTGTTTTGGGTTTCTGGTTTAGCATGTCACCCCCATTGTTTTGAGTTTCCGGTTTAGCATGTCACTCATAGGTTATGGTGTCCTTACGGTTGCACTTTTTTTTAATCTCTTGTCATTCCAGTTGAAGAGATACCATTTGATATTTTAGAGATGCCTGCATGCAAACTCTTAAAACATTTGAGTAAGTACAGTGCACCAGGGAGACTCTTATGACTGTTGGGATAACACCAAGAATTTGGTATATGCTCCTAACTCAGGGTCCCCATAAATCAAACCACCTAAAATAAAATAGATTAAAGAATGAATTAGATAAAGAGTTTACTTGCTTAACTAAGTGGGTTTTTTTGTTAATTCCCTACAACCAAATTTTTATAATACCCCATGTTTTCTCCACATGCTGTAAGTGTTAGCAGCTGCACAGATACTTAAGATAAGTGTCTCATGTTAGTAGAGAAGTCTTGATCTGTGATCTTGGGAAAAGCTGTTCACATTAAGGATGCCATCTTCTTCTGGGGGGAACTGTCCTTGTTAGCTTTACCTTAAGGGTTCCAATGGGTATATGGTTCCAAGTGTGGAAGGACCTTTCTGAGTTGTGAGACTATGAACCCAAAGTTTAAGGTTTTAAAGTTTTGCTGTCATGTGGATGGCAAGGGCAGTCCTTCTCTGATGTTCTCAGAAGATCCAGTCATCAGATTCCAGATTTTGAAGGGGTTGACTGTCCTCAGTGAACCATAAAAGGCTTTCTTTACCTGGTGAAAATACACTTCAGGGTAATAATCTACTGTTTTAACATCAACTCTCTCGCATGGAAGAGCTTTTATACAATCAGAAAACATGCACTAAAAATGACAACTGAATCAAATCCCTTTATAAAATGTTTAAATGGCCCATCAGGTAACCAAATGTACCTGAAGTTTTGATTGTTTTCCTAGAAATATAGGTTTGACAAACTAAACATTGGTTATAAACTATTTTAACAGTTTAGAAATCACCACACCAATATATTTAATTTGGATCATTTTCTCTTTCCATGATGAGTTATGGAATGCAGAACTTTTAATAACAAAAGTTTTAAGGACTTAAGAAGGATAAGGTGGCCATCCTGGTTCTTCATAAGTCTGTGCTTAATTAACATTAGACTTACATCCTCTTGAATACCAGCTGTTTCTCCAAATTACGTGCATGGCACTGGTAACTGATGAGTAGTTATAGGTGATTTGACTCAGACCATGGAGTTTATTTAAATTATATACCTAAACAATTTCAATATTGGTGATTTAGCATGCAAATGTGGCAAAATATTTCCTTGGTATACAATTTTTGTTTTACTTAGGTTAGCAGTTTTATAAACAAGTTGGTCTATTTATTAAACTTTTGGGATTTTTTTTCGAGACAGAGTCTCACTCTGTTACCTAGGTTGGAGTGCAGTGGCACAATCTTGGCTCACTGCAACCTCCACCTCCTGGTTTCAAACAATTCTCTTGCCTCAGCCTCCAGAGTAGCTGGGATTACAGGCACATACCACCACACCCGGCTAATTTTTACATTTTTAGTAGAGGTGGGGTTTCACCGTTGGCCAGGCTGGTCTCAAACTCCTGACCTCAAGTGATCCACTGGCCTTGGCCTCCCAAAGTGCTGGGATTGCCAACGTGAGCCGCTGCACCCAGCCTAACTTTTGAGAATTCTTAACCTGTCCAATTCTTGGGGTATCAGGGAACTTATGGGGAATTTTTACCCATTATATTAAAGTTATTAAAAATCTGTGTTCACGAGTGTTTTTCAGGATCCTTTTCATTCTTTCATGAATCTTCTAAGAGACACCATATTCTAGAATTTTGCATGCTTGTGAAGTTTTTAGAAACTGCATCACCATTAAGCAATTAACTGTGGAAATGACTTTAAATAGTTATAGATAAAGACAATTGACAAGGAAATTTGGTTATTTCTGTGGTCTACAATAACTTAATAACCATAATTAGGGTGGATGTGGTGGCTCATGCCTGTAATCCCAGCACTTTGGGAGGCCGAGGTGGAAGGATCACGAGGTCAGGAGATCGAGACCATCCTGGCTAACACAGTGAAATCCGTCTTTGCTAAAAATACAAAAATTAGCCTGGCATGGTGGTGGGTGCCTGTAGTCCCAGCTACTCAGGAGGCTGAGGCAGGAGAATGGCATGAACCCGGGAGGTGGAGGTTGCAGTGAGCCAAGATTGCACCACTGTACTCCAGCCTGGGTGACAGAGCAAGACTCCTTCTCAGAAAAAAAAAATACAAGAATTTTAGAAATCCTATACAATTTTAGAATGGATTGATGACATACACTGAATATAACCTAAAGAAGGTTCAACATTATTTTGTATTTTGACAGTGCTAGCCATGTGACTTAACATGTTAAATAGTCCTGTTTACCTCTCTTTTGGGTGCTTCAGGGGCCTCTGTAGTATCCCAAAGTTAGAGGTCAGAACATAAAATTTTGAAGTTGCAATTTGATTTTGGGAAGCGTATTAAATATATTAAAGGTTTAAACACTTGATGTTATGAAATAGAATTCCACATCAACGTAAGTCATTCATTTACCTAAAATCATGACTTAAAAAATTTTTAAAGGGCAAAAATATTTACTCATTGATAGGGGGAAGACTTATCTCCACAAATAATCTGCCTCTTGTTTTTCCTTTTTTTTTTGGTAGTTTATTTACAAGGCAAACAAATTTTTCATTTTTTAATTTTATTTTATTATTATTATTATTATTATTATTATACTTTAAGTTTTAGGGTTTATGTGCACAATGTGCCAGTTAGTTACATATGTATACATGTGCCAGTCTGGTGGGCTGCACCCATTAACTCGTCATTTAGCATTAGGTATATCTCCTAATGCTATCCCTCCCCCCTCCCCCCACCCCACAACAGTCCCCAGAGTGTGATGTTCCCCTTCCTTTGTCCATGTGTTCTCATTGTTCAATTCCCATCTATGATTGAGAACATTCAGTGATTGGTTTTTTGTCCTTGTGATAGTTTACTGAGAATGATGATTTCCAATTTCATCCATATCCCTACAAAGGACATGAACTCATCATTTTTTATGGCTGCATAGTATTCCATGGTGTATATGTGCCACAATTTCTCAATCCAGTCTATCGTTGTTGGACATTTGGGTCGGTTCCAAGTCTTTGCTATTGTGAATAGTGCCGCAAAAAACATACGTGTGCATGTGTGTTTATAGCAGCATGATTTATAGTCCTTTGGTTATATACCCACTAATGGGATGGCTGGATCAAATGGTATTTCTAGTTCCAGATACTTGAGGAATCGCCACACTGACTTCCACAATCGTTGAACTAGTTTACAGTCCCACCAACAGTTTAAAAGTGTTTCTATTTCTCCACATCCTCTCCAGCACCTGTTGTTTCCTGACTTTTTAATGATTGTGATTCTAAATGTTGTGAGATGTTATCTCATTGTGGTTTTGATTTGCATTTCTCTGATGGCCAGTGATGATGAGCATTTTTTCATGTGTCTTTTGGCTGCATAAAGGTCTTCTTTTGAGAAGTGTCTGTTCATATCCTTCACCCACTTTTTGATGGGGTGTATTTCTTTTCTTGTAAATTTGTTTAAGTTCGTTGTAGATTCTGGATATTAGCCCTTTGTCAGATGAGTAGGTTGCAAAAATTTTCTCCCATTTTGTAGGTTGCCTGTTCACTCTGATGGCAGTTTCTTCTGCTGTGCAGAAGTTCTTTAGTTTAATTAGATCCCATTTGTCAATTTTGGCTTTTGTTGCCATTGCTTCTGGTGTTTTAGACATGAAGTACTTGCCCATGCCTATGTCCTGAATGGTAATGCCTAGTTTTACTTCTAGGGTTTTTATGGTTTCAGGTCTAACATTTAAGTCTTTAATCCATCTTGAATTAATTTTTGTATAAGGTGTAAGGAAGGGATCCAGTTTCAGCTTTCTACATATGGCTAGCCAGTTTTCCCAGCACCATTTATTAAATAGGGGACCCACTCCTTGTTTTTGTCAGGTTTGTCAAAGATCAGATAGTTGTACATATGCGGCATTATTTCTGAGGGCTCTGTTCTGTTCCATTGGTCTATATCTCTGTTTTGGTACCCGTACCATGCTGTTTTGGTTACTGTAGCCTTGTAGTATAGTTTGAAGTCAGGTAAGGTGATGTCTCCAGCTTTGTTCTTTTGGCTTAGGATTGACTTGGTGATGCAGGCTCTTTTTTGGTTCCATATGAACTTTAAAGTAGTTTTTTCCAATTCTGTGAAGAAAGTCATTGGTAGCTTGATGGGGATGGCATTGAATCTATACATTACCTTGGGCAGTATGGCCATTTTCATGATATTGATTCTTCCTATCCATGAGTATGGAATGTTCTTCCATTTGTTTTTATCCTCTTTTATTTCATTGAGCAGTGGTTTGTAGTTCTCCTTGAAGAGGTCCTTCATGTCCCTTGTAAATTGGATTCCTAAGTATTTTATTCTCTTTGAAGCAATTGCATATGGGAGTTCACTCATGATTTGGCTCTCTGTTTGTCTGTTATTGGTGTATAAGAATGCTTGTGATTTTTGTACATTGATTTTGTATCCTGAGACTTTGCTGAGGTTACTTATCAGCTTAAGGAGATTTTGGGCTGAGACAATGGGGTTTTCTAGATATACAATCATGTCATCTGCAAAGAGGGACAATTTGACTTCTTCTTTTCCTAATTGAATACCCTTTATTTCCTTCTCCTGCCTGATTGCCCTGGCCAGAACTCCCAACACTATATTGAATAGGAGTGATGAGAGAGGGCATCCCTGTCTTGTGCCCGTTTTCAAAGGGAATGCTTCTAGTTTTTGCCCATTCAGTATGATATTGACTGTGGGTTTGTCATAGATAGCTCTTATTATTTTGAGATAAGTCCCATCAATACCTAATTTATTGAGAGTTTTTAGCATGAAGCATTGTTGAATTTTGTCAAAGGCCTTTTCTGCATCTATTGAGATAATCATGTGGTTTTTGTCTTTGGTTCTGTTTATATGCTGGATTACATTTATTGATTTGCGTATATTGAACCAGCCTTGCATCCCAGGGATGAAACCCACTTGATCATGGTGGATAAGCTTTTTGATGTGCTGCTGGATTCGGTTTGCCAGTATTTTATTGAGGATTTTTGCATCAATGTTCGTCAAGGATATTGGTCTAAAATTCTATTTTTTGGTTGTGTCTCTTCCCGGCTTTGGTATCAGGATGATGCTGGCCTCATAAATTGAGTTAGGGAGGACTCCTTCTTTTTTTATTGATTGGAATAGCTTCAGAAGGAATGGTAACAGTTCCTCCTTGTACCTCTGGTAGAATTTGGCTGTGAATCCATCTGGTCCTGGACTCTTTTTGGTTGGTAAGCTATTGATTATTGACACAATTTCAGATCCTGTTATTGGTCTATTCAGAGATTCAACTTCTTCCTGGTTTAGTCTTGGGAGAGTGTATGTGTGGAGGAATTTATCCATTTCTTCTAGATTTTCTAGTTTATTTGTGTAGAGGTGTTTGTAGTATTCTCTGATGGTAGTTTGTATTTCTGAGGGATCAGTGGTGATATCCCCTTTATTATTTTTATTGTGTCTATTTGATTCTTCTCTCTTTTTTTCTTTATTAGTCCTGCTAGCAGTGTATCAATTTTGTTGATCCTTTCATAAAACCAGCTCCTGGATTCATTAATTTTTTGAAGCGTTTTTTTGTTGCTATTTCCTTCAGTTCTGCTCTGATTTTAGTTATTTCTTGCCTTCTGCTAGCTTTTGAATGTGTTTGCTCTTGCTTTTCTAGTTCTTTTAATTGTGATATTAGGGTGTCAATTTTGGATCTTTCCTGCTTTCCCTTGTGGGCATTTAGTGCTATAAATTTCCCTGTACACACTGCTTTGAATGTGTCCCAGAGATTCCGGTATGTTGTGTCTTTGTTCTCGTTGGTTTCAAAGAACATCTTTATTTCTGCCTTCATTTTATTATGTACCCATTAGTCATACAGGAGCAGGTTGTTCAGTTTCCATGTAGTTGAGCAGTTTTGAGTGAGTTTCTTAATGCCGAGTTTTAGTTTGATTGCACTGTGGTCTGAGAGACAGTTTAATTTCTGTTCTTTTACATTTGCTGAAGAGGGCTTTACTTCCAAGTATGTGGTCAATTTTGGAATAGGTGTGGTGTGATGCTGAAAAAAATGTATATTCTGTTGATTTGGGGTGGAGAGTTCTGTAGATGTCTGTTAGGTCCACTTGGTGCAGGGCTGAGTTCAATTCCTTGGTATCCTTGTGAACTTTCTGTCTTATTGATCTGTCTAATGTTGACAGTGGGGTGTTAAAGTCTCCCATTATTATTGTGTGGGAGTCTAAGTCTCTTTGTAGGTCACTCAGGACTTGCTTTATGAATCTGGGTGCTCCTGTATTGGGTGCATATATATTTAGGATAGTTAGCTCTTCTTGTTGAATTGATCCCTTTACCATTATATAATGGTCTTCTTTGTCTCTTTTGATCTTTGTTGGTTTACAGTCTGTTCCATCAGAGTCTAGGATTGCAACCCCTGCCTTTTTTTGTTTTCCATTTGCTTGGTAGATCTTCCTCCATCCTTTTATTTTGAGCCTATATGTGTCTCTGCACGTGACGTGGGTTTCCTGAATACAGCACACTGATGGGTCTTGACTCTTTATCCAATTAGCCAGTCTGTGTCTTTTAATTGGAGCATTTAGTCCATTTACATTTAAAGTTAATATTGTTATGTGTGAATTTGATCCTGTCATTATGATGTTAGCTGGTTATTTTGCTCGTTAATTGACGCAGTTTCTTCCTAGTCTTGATGTTCTTTACAATTTGGCATGTTTTTGCAGTGGGTGGTACCGATTGTGCCTTTCCATGTTTAGTGCTTCCTTCAGGAGCTCTTTTAGGACAGGCCTGGTGGTGACAAAATCGCTCAGCATTTGCTTGTCTGTAAAGTATTTTATTTCTCCTTCACTTATGAAGCTTAGTTTGGCTGGATATGAAATTCTGGGTTGAAAATTCTTTTCTGTAAGAATGTTGAATATTGGCCCCCACTCTCTTCTTGCTTGCAGAGTTTCTGCCAAGAGATCAGCAGTTATTCTGATGGGCTTCCCTTTATGGGTAACCTGACCTTTCTCTCTGGTTGCCCTTAATATTTTTTCCTTCATTTCAACTTTGGTGAATCTCACAATTATGTGTCTTGGAGTTGCTGTTCTCGAGGAGTATCTTTGTGGCGTTCTCTGTATTTCCTGAATCTGAATGTTGGCTGGCTTTGCTGGATTGGGGAAGTTCTCCAGGATAATATCCTGCAGAGTGTTTTCCAACTTGGTTCCATTCTCCCCGTCACTTTCAGGTACACCAATCAGATGCAGATTTGGTCTTTTCATATAGTCCCATATTTCTTGGAGGCTTTGTTCATTTCTTCTTATTCTTTTTTTTCTAAACTTCCCTTCTTGTTTCATTTCATTCATTTCATCTTTCATCACTGATACACTTTCTTCCAGTTGATCTCATCATCTCCTGAGGCTTCTGCATTCTTCACATAGTTCTCGAGCCTTGGCTTTCAGCTCCATTAGCTCCTTTAAGCACTTCTCTATATTGGTTATTCTAGTTATACATTCGTCTAAAGTTTTTTCAAAGTTTTCAACTTCTTTGCCTTTGGTTTGAATTTCCTCCTGTAGCTCGGAGTAGTTTGATCATCCGAAGCCCTCTTCTCTCAACTCGTCAAAGTCATTCTCTGTCCAGCTTTTTTCCATTGCTGGTGAGAAACAGCGTTCCTTTGGCAGAGGAGAGGTGCTCTGCTTTTTAGAGTTTCCAGTTTTCCTGCTCTGTTTTTTCCCCATCTTTGTGGTTTTATCTACTTTTGGTCTTTGATGATGGTGATGTACAGATGGGTTTTTGGTGTGGATGTCCTTCCTGTTTGTTAGTTTTCCTTCTAACAGACATGACCCTCAACTTCAGGTCTGTTGGAGTTTGCTAGAGGCCCATTCCAGACCCTGTTTGCCTGGCTATCAGTAGTGGTGTCTGCAAAACCGTGGATTTTCGTGATCCGCGAATGCTGCTGTCTGATCGTTCCTCTGGAAGTTTTGTCTCAGAGGAGTACCTGGTCGTGTGAGATGTCAGTCTGCCCCTACTGGGGGGTGCCTCACAGTTAGGCTGTTTGGGGGTCAGGGACCCACTTGAGGAGGCAGTCTGCCCATTCTCAGATCTCCAGCTGCGTGCTGGGAGAACCACTGCTCTCCTCAAAGCTGTCAGACAGGGACATTTAAGTCTGCAGAGGTTACTGCTGTCTTTTTGTTTGTCTGTGCCCTGCCCCCAGAGGTGGAGCCTGCAGAGGCAGGACGGCCTCCTTGAGCTGTGGTGGGCTCCACCCAGTTCGAGCTTCCTGGCTGCTTTGTTTACCTAAGAGAGCCTGGGCAATAGCCGGTGCCCCTCCCCCAGCCTTGCTGCTGCCTTGCAGTTTGATCTCATACTGCTGTGTTAGCAATCAGCGAGACTCCGTGTGCGTAGGACACTCTGAGCCAGGTGCCAGATATAATCTCCTGGTGTGCCGTTTCCTAAGCCCGTCAGAAAAGCACAGTGTTAGGGTGAGAGTGACCCGATTTTCCAGGTGCCGTCTGTCACCCCTTTCCTTGACCAGGAAAGGGAGCTAACTCCCTGACCCCTTGCACTTCCTGAGTGAGGCAATGACTCGCCCTGCTTCAGCTAGTGCACAGTGCACTTCACCCACTGTCCTGCGCCCACTGTCTGGCACTCCCTAGTGAGATGAACCCAGTACCTCAAATGGAAATGCAGAAATCACCGGTCTTCTGCGTCATTCATGCTGGGAGCTGTAGACTCGAGCTGTTCCTATTCGGCCATCTTGGCTCCTCCTCCCATTATTTTTTAATATTTTCTGAAAATCTTCTTTAAAGAGAGAAAGCCAAATGTCACCCACTTTTTCATAAAACCTTATAGGCCAATCTATTATTCTTTTCTTTTTTGGAGGTGGATTTTCCCTCTTGTTGCCCAGGCTGGAGTGCAATGATGCGATCTCGGTTTACTGCAACCCCCTGCCTCCCAGGTTCAAGCAATTCTCCCGCCCTAGCCTCCTGAGTAGCTGGGATTAGAGGCATGCCACACCATGCCCAGCTAATTTTGTGTTTTTAGTAGAGACGGGGTTTTTCCTTGTTGGTCAGGCTGGCCCTGAACTCCTGACCTCAGGTGATCCACCTGCCTCGGCCTCCCCAAGTGTTGGGATTACAGGCATGAGCCACTGCCCCTGGCCATTTTTTTTTAAAGATAACCTCTTGCTCTGTCACCCTCCTCTCCATATTATAGCTCTGGGGCCAAGCTGCATCACAATGGAAATCATGGAGCCACAGGAAGAATCCACTCAGCTTTGCAACATGCTGCCCAAGAGGTTGCTTGGAGTAACCAAATTAACATTTTTCATTCTGCTCAGAGCAAAATACATGTGACAAAACATAGACACGAGCCACTTTGCTTAGCACCCAGTGTCAAACTGGTAAGACCCAAACTTGCTCCCAGATAGGCCGTGCCACCTCTAAATCTTTTTAGAAGCTTCTGCATATTAATAGGCATCCCTAGATGAGACTAATTTGGGAGCCCTCATTTTTAAATGCACTTCAGGGCATTATTCATTTGGAATGTTCCACTGTAAGTTATCTTTAATAAGATTTTGCCATTTCTGTAAGACTTTGCCGCTTCCCAGGCCTAATGAATTAGCCAGAAGGAACTAAGTTTTCCAGAAATTAAGGATCCTATTTTTACCTAATATATTGGCTTTACTCCCAGGTTCCCTTGATTGACTTAGCCAATGATTTTTTTTTCCTACCTAAGCGTGCGAGGAAAATGAAACAAAGGGGTAGAACACAAAAATCCCTGTGAATTTTCAAAAGCCAAATTTTACAACCCTCCAAAATTATCATTTACTACCACTTTCCTTCTGACCCATTCAGATGTAGGAGGTCTCTAACTGGAACTGGATTCAAGCCAGTTAACTACTGGATCAAATCTGATCCTGGACCCGGTCCCGTTTCTGTCATAACTTCTAAAACATCCAGTCAGTCATGGCTGGATAGCAGTTTGGAACAGAAATTTGCTCAAAGAAACTCAGAGCTCAAAACACAAATCCATGGAGCTCTGAAATCCGAGAGAGAATTTACCATGATCCCCAGCTGCTCTGAGAGGTCAAAGTGCACAAGTGTTACAGAATCCTGAGACGTCACTTTTCTGCCTGAAACCTCTGGCTGGTGGCGCCTTTACCTGTGTTTTGCTCGGGCCCACTGGGTTCGTTCCGTCCACTCGGCTCATGCTAGTGGTGTGGATCCCACACCTGCCAAGGGTGAGCTGGGTACAGAGCAGTGAAGGGTGTGTGAGCAACCAAGCATGGGATCTGGCCACTGCACACAGCCAAGCATGCCAGCTGCAGTGAGGTGGGCCACTCCAGGTACTGGTACAGGTGCCAGCTCCCTGTGAGGCTGCAGCTAGACCAGACCGACTGCAAACAGCTTCCACTGTGTGTATCAGGGAATGCAGTGGCGCCCAGAAACTTGGAGATGCAGGAACTGCAGAGTCCCAAAGAAGGCATCACAGCCCTGGCTTGGGGAGCTCCTAGGTCTGGGCTCCCTGAAGGGCCACAGCTCTTGTCTCCTTCTCTCTTCTCTTCTTCTTGCCTGCAATTTGGCAAGCAAGGGGGGCGTTTCAGCCCTGTTTATGTTACACCTCTTTCAGCCCTGCTAGTTTGCAGGTCCCGAGTTCTTGTCCTGAGTCCAGGAAGAATGAGGTATGTGGGCAAGTAGAAGGTGAGCAAGGTGAAGAGGTGCTTTATTGAGCAACAGTACAGCTCAGAGGAGAACTGCAGTGGGTAACTCCTTTCTGCAGGCAGGTCATCCAAACGTCTGTTCAGCTCTCAGCAGCTGAGAGAGACACACTGAGGTTAGCTGTGCCCACATTGACGAGGCTGTTCGAGCTGAGGAGTGCCTTCAGGCCAGTGCTGAGCCACTCTTAGCCCCACCTCAACCTCCCTCTTGTGCTCGTCACTGCCCAAAGTCTGGAGGGGGCCGAGGTGGCAGGGGGCTGGCATGTCAGCACTGCCCTGAGCTTGCACAAACCGGGCCGGGTTGCGACTGTGCCTGGGTTCAGCCTCAACTTGGATCCGAAGTTGGAGTGGGCTCTGGGAGTGGAGAGATGCCAGGTGGTGGGACCAGGTACGACTGAGCCTGCGGGGGCAGGGGGGCTTGCTGGGCCTCTGAGAGTGCAAAGATGCCCTGGTTTGCAGTCATGGCTGGATGGCTGCAGCTGTGCCTGGGAGGGCGGAGCTCCAGCCTGCCAATTTAGAAGGGGTGGGTCTCCCACCCGTTCCTGGCTCCCACCAGCTTCGAGGAGCGCACAGCCCCAGCCACTCCTCCCCACTGCAGCCAGTGTCTCCATAGCAACTGCTCCACGTGGACCACTGCTGCCATCACAGAGCAGTCCTTGCAGGTGCCTTTCTTGTACCTCAGCACTCCTGGGGGTCATTAGAAGCCCTAGCAACGCTGCTCACCACACTATAGCTCCGGAGGCCCTAGCAGTCCTGCTACCACAGATCCCACTTCTGACACCATCTATTAAAAGAAAATCTTCAGCTGAATTAAATTTAAAGGAACTTAATTGAGCAATGAATGATTCACGAATCAGGCAGCCCCCAGAATCACAGCAGATGTGGTGAGACTCCAGCACAGCTACATGGTGGAAGATTTATAGACAATAAAGGGAACGTGATGTACAGAAATCTGAAGTGAGGAGTGAGGACCAGAAGCAACTGGGTCCCTTACCGTTCTCAGCAGTGAGGTCCAGAAACAACTGGACTGGTTACAGTGCTCAGCATTTGCCTTATCTGAACACAGCTGAACACTCAGCAGTGTGTGAGTGGCAGAAGTTTGGTTGTTGGGATTGGCCAGGACTCAGCTATAGTTACAGGCGCATACTCCTAAGTTAGGTTTTCAGTCTTCCTACCTATTAAGTTAGGTTGCAGTTTGTCCACAGGGACTCAAATCTAGAAGTACAGAGTCCTTCCCAGGCCATATTTAGTTCACTGTAATAGTTCCTATTATGACCTCACTGACAGTTCTTTTTCTCTGAATTCTCCTTTCTTCTCAACAGCTTATCCAAATGTTCCATTAGCCCCTGTTCATCCCGCCCTGCAGTTCTCCTTGACTGATTCAGCCCTTTGTGGTTTGCAGTCCTGTTTCTCTACAGGTTGGACCCCTTCAGTCTTTCCATCATAGGTTTAACTCTCTGTTGAATGCTTCTTTGTAGCTACGCAAAAGTTACCTTAAGCTCAAAAAATTCAAAGTGAAAGCCACATCCTCCTCTCTTCCCTTATGTGTATGATATTACTACCATGCAGCCAGTGACCCAAAATGGGATTTCTTCTGGGCTTTTCTTGCTTAGATTCAGGCTCATCTGGTGTCAAGCCTTGTTACTTTTGTTTCCTTGTTCTTTTATTTTTAATTTTTTTTCTTTTGAGACAGGGTTTCACTCTTGTTGTCCAGGCTAGAGCGCAGTGGTGTGATCTCGGCTCACTGCAGCCTCCACCTCCCGGGTTCAAGCAATTCTCCTGCCTCAGCTCCTGAGTAGCTGGTATTACAGGCATTTGCCACCATGCCCAGCTAATTTTGTATGTTTAGTAGAGATGGGGTTTCTCTGTTTTGATCAGGGTGGTCTCGAACTCCCGACCTCAGGTGATCCACATGCTTTGTCCTCCCAAAGTGCTGGGATTACAGGCGTGAGCCACCGTGCCTGGCCTGCTTGTTGTTTTCATCTCATCCTGATTTCTGAATACAGGAGAGGAGCTGAGTTGGTGTTCACTAACAAGCACGGAAGCTTTGTTACATTTACAGTGTCATTCTTGGCAAAACCTGAATGGTATGTTTGTGGGGTGATGAGATTCAGTCCCCTGTGACCTGTGCATCTGGCCAACACTGTGGTGACATCCTTAGGAATCCATGGGGAGAGACAAAGCATTCAGGAGTTAGTGGGTCACATTTGACAAAGGCCAATAAAGAAATATGCAAAGACAAAAGTCAAGAAGAACATTGTCATATTTTACACCTTTTGTTTATATAAATTTATGTCAATGATTCTAGCTTATGTTAATATGCAATGTATACAATATGCTAACATATACAATACATGTTTATAGTTTAAACATTTCTGTCATGTTTTCAGATTCTTTAAAGATTATATTAAACTTCCTATTTCAGATAGCTGTTTAAAATGAGTAAGGAGAAACGGATGTTTGCATCAGTTCTAACTGTTTATGGACTAAAACTAGTTGATTTCTTGGTTAAGAACAAAAAGTGACAACCTAATTAACTGAAAATTTGAAGTAGGCAATTATAGTTTTAGCTTTAACGTAAAATATTAACTATGCTCCATTCTTGCATTTTTAACCTAATACTCAATATAAATCGCTACATGCCGTTTCAGATCAAGGTTCTACTTGTGATCTCTCATGAGTTTTTCAAGGTTTTAATTATCTGAGATGTAACAATGTACCAGTAACCTTACTGGCTTAAACCAGGAATTTATTCTTTTTACATGTCACAATTTTCTGGGTCAAGACACTGGACAGGGCGGTGTTGGTTGGTTGCTTCATGATGTCCTTGGTCTCATCTGGAAGGACTCTAGTGGCTGGGGACATGGAGCAGGCACCCAGCCCTCTCTTCGTGGCCAGCACGGACTTCCTCCCAGTCTGGCAGCGTCAGGTAGTCAGGTTTGTCTGGCTTCTCCCAGGGTGTGTGTCCAAGAGGCCCAGGCAGAAGCTGTAAGGACTCTCATGATCGCCCCTCAGAAGTCCCAGAGCATCTCTCCTGCCACACTGCCCAGTCGCACTCATCACTGAGACCAGCCATGATTCAAGGGGTGAAGGTGATTAGATTCCACCTCTTGATGAGAAGCATAGTAGGAACCTGCAGCAGTCTTTAATAAACCACAGCTTGTCCTCTGGCCACAAACTATTAACATTTCTCCTACATGCAAATTATGCTTTGCCCCTCTCAAGAGCCCCAGAAAGGTTTTCCTTATGGCACTGGCTAGTAACCCAACTGAATCCTGAATCAGGTTGTGGTGGCCTGTCATCTGCACCCACACACACTCAGCCGCAGTGAGGACTGAATCAGGTTGTGGTGACCTGTCATCTGACCCCCCACACACAGCCACAGTGAGGACTGAATCAGGTTGTGGTGGCCTGTCTGCCCCTGACACACTCAGCCACAGTGAGGACTGAATCAGGTTGTTATGACCTATCATCTGAGCCCACAATCTCAGCCTCAGTGAGGGGACTGGTGTGAAAACAGTCGGCATTTCCCTTTAGAAGCTGTTGGTGGGAGGCAAGAGGGAAGTGCTGCCCTGCAGGCCCCGTCTAACAGTTGGTCATTCCCATGGGGTGCCTGTTACAGTTCTGTGATTAGTGCCCAGTCCTGGTCCCTGAGAACGGCACCCAGTCCTGGTCCCTGAGAATGGTGTTTGTGTCCTTTTACTCTTCCCTCTGGGCTTTTGTCATTCTCCATGTTCTTTTTCCTTCAGTGCCTGGGTTGCCGTTGACCAACTTTCCCTGCCTTTTTCTTATGGTCAATAGGGTATTCAATGGCTTCTTTTTCATTTTTTTTCCTTTTCTTTTCTTTTTTTTTTTTTTTTTACTTTGGCCTTTTGAGACAAGAAATTATTTCTTTATATTTTCTCTAAATTCTGTTTGAAAACTGAACCTTCTTCTTTAGATCATGTCCCTCTCCTGTCATATTTATTCAGTGACAGTTAGCGGAGGCTGGTAGCACTTTCCATGTTCTTCCCAGATGTCTCCTTAGGCAGATCCCTGAGATGGTGCAGTGCCCTTTCAGTTTCCATGTTGTGGCCATAGTTTTCCCACAGTCCCTCAGCACGTAACTCTCAGGCCTTTTCTCCAGTTTCCAATGACATTTTCTTACCGTCCTTCAGGCCCTGACCAAGTGTCTTGATGCTCTTCCAGGTTGCATGAATGGTCTCCTTGAGGCCCAGTTACAGATCAGCCTCACAGTCGTGTCACATATTGTAGCTTCTGATTACCACAGCAGCTCATTTCCAGCTGTCATATTCTGTTCCAGTTATCTATTCTGAAGAAACCATCCCCAAAACTTGGCAGCTTAAAACAACTCATTATTACTTGTTTTTTGGCTTAGAGAGTCTTGGTGGTCAGCTCATCTCACACACAGTTGCAGCCAAGCTGGATTGTGTGAAAGCACAGTGAGGTGGTGTGCAGGGTGGCTCACTAGTGGTTGGGAGTGGATGTTGCTGGAGGCTCACTAGTTGTTGGGAGTCGGTGTTGCTGGAGGCTCAGTGGGGGATGTCAATGCATGTAGCTAGTCATGGACTGGCCGTTTGGTTTCCATCATGAGGTCTCAGGGGAGTGGGATTTCCTGCCTGGTGACTGGCTTTCTCCTGGATAAGTGTTCTGTTTTCTCAGCCTGGCTTCTGAAGTCCCCAAATACCACCTTTGTCACCTTCTGTTGGCCAAATAAGTCAGTAGTTTGGTCAAGGTTTAAGGGGAATTGGTCCTCACAGAGAGAGGAGCAGGAAAGAAGTTGTCACCTTTAGTCTACCAGAAATGAGATTTTTATAACAAGTTTGTTCCAAATACATTCCAGTTCCCCTTGTGAATACTTTTTTGACTCACAGGGTATTTCAAAGTTTATTACTTGGTTTTCAGACATTTGAGGCTTTTCTGGTTATCAATTTGTTGTTGGTTTCTAATTTAATTTCAACTGTTCAGACAACATCCTTTGTATAGTATTTCAGGCTTGAACCTTTTCTCAATCGATCGACATACAGTCTATCTTGGTACTGCCAAGTACCATTTGGGTCAGGATTTTGTCATTTAGATCCATATTTTTCCTATATTTTTATCTGGTTGTCCCATCAGTTACTGAGAGAGCAGTATTAATTCACCAGCTATAATTTTGGATTGTCAATTTCCTGCTTTTGTTCTGTTGTTTTTGATTCACATACTTTGAGGTTGTGTGTGTGTGTGTACTTTGTGTGCATTTTGAGGCACAATTTTTAATTGTAACATCATCCTCTCTGATTCTTTTATTTTTATTAAATTACCCTGTTTATTTCTGGTGATATATTTTGCTCTGAAGCCTCTTTCATCTAGTGTTAACATCTCTGTTGAAGCTTTTTATGATTAGTGTCTGGATAGCATATTTTTATGATTAGTGTCTGCATAGCATATTTTTTCTCATACTTTGTTTGTGTCTTTGTGTTTAAATTGTGTCTCTGTGGATGCCATATTGTTGGGTCTTGCCTTCCTCTCAGGTCTGGCAGTCTCTGTCTTAAGTAGAGTATTTGTCCAGTTACATTGTAACTAATCATTGCTAAGGTTGGATTTAGGTCTGCCATTTTTCTAGTTATTTTCTATTTGTTTTTTTATTATTTTTAAGACAGGGTCTTGCTCTGTCACCCAGACTGTAGTGCAATGATGCAATCTTGGCTCACTGCAACCTCTGCCTCCCAGGCCCAACCAATCCTCACTTGAGCCCCCTGAGTAGCTGGGACTACAGGTGCGTGGCACCACACCTGGCTAATTTTTATATTTTTTGTAGAGATAGAGTTTTGCCATGTTGCACAGGCTGGTCTTGAACTCCTGAGCTCAAGCAACCTACCCACCTTGGCCTCCCAAATTGTTCAGATTACAGGCATGAGCCACCATGCCTGGTCTTCGTCTGTCTTTTGATCTTCTATATATTCTTTCCTAACTTCTTTTGGGTTAAATATTTCTAAATATTCCAGTTTGATTAATATTTTGGCTTTTTGAAATAATTTTTTATAGGCTGGGCATGTTGGCTTATGCTCGTAATCTCAGCTCTATGGGAGTCCAAGGGAGGTGGATTGCTTGAGCCCAGGAGGTTGAGACCAGCCTGGGCAACATGGGAAAACCCTCTCTACAAAAAAACAAACCAAACTTTAGCCTGACATCTTGGTGTGCACCTGTAGTCCCAACTATTCGGGAGGCTCAGGTGGGAGGGTTGCTTGAGCCTGGGAGGTTGAGGCTGCAATGAGCTGTGATCATGCCATTGCACTCCTGCCAGGGCAACAGAGTAAGATCCTGTGTCAAAAAATATCATTTTTTATAAATAATTTATTATTTCTAATTTTGGTAACAAACACATACCTTAAAATTTACCATCATAACCAGTTGTAAGTGTACAGTTTTGTAGAGTTAAGAATATTTACAGTGTTGTGTAGCAGATTTCTAGATTTTTTTTTTTATCTTGGAAAACTCTATATCCATTCAACAACTATTAATTCCCCCTTCCTTCCACCTCCTGGCAAGTACTATTCTACTTTGTGTTTCTAAAACTTTGGCTTATATACCTAGGGTTATATAATATTTGTTGTTTTGTAAGTAGGTTCCATGTTATGTGTCAGATGTGTCAGGATTTTCTTCCTTTCTATGGCTGAATAATATTTCTTCATATATATATATATTTTTTTTCTCTCTCTCTCTCTCTATATATATCCTTTTGTTTATCCATCTATTCCTGGATGGACGTTTTGGTTTCTTCCACTTGTGGCTGTGTAATGCTCCTGTGAACATAGGTGTGCACATATCTGTTGGAGTTCCCGCTACTAGTTATTCTGTCTCTGTAGAAGTTGGATGCCTGGATCATATGGTCATTTTATTTTATTTTTTGTGAGGAGCCAGTTCATATTTCCACCAACAGTGTTCAAGGGTTTCAGTTTCACCTGCACTTGTTACTTTCTGTTGGGTTAGAAGTGATGTCCCATTGTGGTTTCTATTTGCATTTCTTTAATGACTAGTGATGTTACACATCTTCTCATATATCTCATGTATCTGTTGGCTATTTTTATATCATCTTTGCATCTTTGGATAAATGTTCTTTGTCCATTTTTTAATCACTTTATTTTGTTGTTGTGTTGTAGTGGGGTTTTTTGGTCATGATCATTCATTTATCTCACAGTTCATTCTTGTTACTTGGGCCAGGGTCATGGTCATTCATTATCTCTCAGTTCATCCTCATTACGTTGGGCAAACAGTCATGCTGCAGGGTATAGATTATGTTATTCTGTTACTTTCAGATAGAATTGGGGCCTAGGTTCTAATTGTTTCTAAGTTTAGATTCTGAATGAGAATCAGCAGAGGTAGACCACTGCTGCTGAGGCCTGGGGATTGCTGGGGAAAAGGCAGGAAACAGATACGGACCTGACCATGGAGGGTTTGTGTTTCACGGCTCCCATCTGGGTACCCAAGGAACCTACATGTAGCTCGTGTGTGGAGAGCCTACATTGCCCACTCAAAGCAATTGAGGATGGAACAGTCTTGGGGCTGGAGCTCATTATTTGGAATGATAACCACATCTGCACAGAGAGGACCTGACAAGATGTTGTCCTTCCATGTATATCTGGGAATCCTCTGTAGGGTCTCTCTGTAAGGACAGGGGCAGTGTTGGCTCCTTGGCCTCTAGTTAGCCTCACAAGTAGTCTAGTAAAGGCTTTGCAAACTTGTCACCATCTGTGGACATTCTGGCCAGCTCTTGTTTTCACCCTACTGACTTCTTCAGACACTAGGCTTTTGCTTTAGACCATTCATGGTTTTTCTTCCTCTTCAAATCAGTAATAAATAAATCCTCTTCAAGTCAATAAATTTCCATTCCTTTAGGAAACCCTGATCTTCTGGTCACACCAAGGTTTAATTAACCGGTTTGATTGTTTTTCTGTTTTGTTTTTTTTTTCCTTCTTCCTAGGGGTTTCTAGTAATTCTAGTTTGATGTCTCACTTTCTCCATTTTTTATTTCTTAGTTTTCTTCTGTGATTATTTTCACTGCAGCTGCAGGGCCTAATCCTAGGTTGGCAGAGAACTAGCACTTACTCTGCCCTAATTGGAATCCAGGAGAGATAGGAGGTGCCCTAGTGTGAAAATGTGTTTGCTCCTCTCTGCTTCTGGTAGTCTCTCTGTAGGAGTTCTTTACGTATTCTGTATGTTCACTTCTTATGAGATACATGATGAGCAACTATAGGTTGAATGTCTCTGATCCAAAAATCTGAAATCCCAAATGCTCCAAAGTCTGAAACTTTTAGAGTGCCAACATGACACTCAAAGGAAATGCTTATTGGAGCATCTCAGACTCAGGTGTTTGAATTCGAGATGCTCAACCAGTAAGAATAGTGCAAATATTACAAAATCTGAAACACATCCCAAGCATTTCAAATAAGGAACACTCAACTGGTATTTTATTTATTCTACAGTTTGCCTTTTACCCTGTTGGTTGTGACCTTTGAGGTACAGAAGTTTTTAGGTTTGATATATTTTTGTTTTTACTGCCTGAGCTTTTAATGTCATATCCTAAAAATTATTGACAAATTCATCGTCATAAAGCATTTTCCAAATTTGTTTTCCCTAGGAGTTTGATAGTTCTAGTTTTACATTTAGGTTTATAATTCACTTTGAATTAATTTTAACGTGTTGTAAGGTAAGAGTCCAACTTCACTGTTTTGCATGTAGATATACAATTTTCCCAACACAATTTGTTGCAGAAACTGTCCTTCACCATTGAGTGGTCTTGGCATCCTTGTGGAACATCATCGGACCATATATGCCAGGATTGGTTTCTGAGGTCTCTGTTGTGTTGGTCCATAAGTGTGTCAAGAGTGTATTTATGCCATGACCACATTTTTTTTTTGGCTTATTGCAGTTTTGTAATTGTTTTGAGACCTTTAATTTTGTTCTGTTTCAAGATCGATTTGCCTATTCATGGGCCCTGGAGATTCCATATGAATTTTAGGATAGGTTTTTCTGTTTATCAAAAATGTCATTGGAATCTTTATAAGGATTGTATTGAATCTAGGTCACTTCGTGTAGTGTTGACATCATTCCAAGATGAAATCATCTAATCTGCAAACCCAGCTTTTCTTTTCATTTATTTGTGTTTAATTTCTTTCAACAGTGTTTTGTAGTTTTCTGTGTTCAAATCTTTTGCCCTCTTGGTTAAGCTTATTTCTAATTTTTTTTTTTTTTTTTTTTTTAAGACAGAGTCTCACTCTTTCGCCCAGGCTGGACTTCAGTGGCGTGGCGCGATCTCAGCTCACTGCAAGCTCCGCCTCCCGGGTTCATGCCATTCTCCTGCCTCAGCCTCCCGAGTAGTTGGGACTACAGGCGCCCGCCAAGGCACCTGGCTAATTTTTTGTATTTTTAGTAGAGACGGGGTTTCACCGTGTTAGCCAACATGGTCTTGATCTCCTGACCTCGTGATCCGCCCGCCTCAGCCTCCCAAAGTGCTGAGATTACAGGCGTGAGCCACCGCGCCCAGCCTCTAATTTTTTTAATGCTTTTGTAAATGTAATTCTTTTTTTTTTTTTTGAGATGGAGTCTTGCTCTGTCTCCCAGGCTGGAGTGCAGTGGCACTATCTCAGGTCACTGCAACCTGCACCTTCCTTATTCAAGCAATTCTCCAACGTCAGCCTCTCAAGTGCCTGGGATCACAGGTGCATGCCACCACGTCCAGCTAACTTTTTGGTATTTTTAGTAGAGACAGGGTTTCTCCATGTTGACCAGGTTAGTCTTGAACTTGTGACCTCAGGTGATCTGCCCGCCTCGGCCTCCCAAATTGCTGGGATTGCTGGCATGAACCACCGCACCTGGCCAAATGTCATTCTTTTTAAAAATTTCTTTTGTTTTCTCTTTCTTTTCTATTCTTTTCTTTTCTTTTCTTTCTCTCTCTTTCTTTCCTTTCTTTCTTTTTTTTGAGACCGCGTCTCACTCTGTTTCCTAAGTTGGAGCACAGTGGCACAATCTCAGCTGACTGCAACCTCCATCTTCCAAGTTCAAGCAATTCTCCTGCCTCAGCATCCCAAGTAGCTGGGACTACAGGTGTCTGCCACTATGCCCAGCTAATTTTTGTATTTTTAATAGAGATAGAGTTTTACTATTTATATTAGAGATGGGGTTGGCCCAGCTGGTCATGAACTCCTGACCTCAGGTGGTCCACCCGCCTTGGCCTCCCAAAGTGCTGGGATTACAAGTGTGAGCCACTGCACCTGGCCTCTTTTTAAAATTTTATTTGCAGATTGTTCATTGTTAGTTTATAGAAATGCAACTGACTTGAGAGTGTTACTATATCCTGAAACTTTGTTGAAGTTCATTATTCTACCAGTATTTTGTGGAATTTCAGAATTTTTACACATTACATCCTGTTGTCTGTGAACAAAATTTTGTACTTTTTCCTTTCCATTGGCATGCTTTTTATTACTTTCTCTTGCCTAATTATTCTAAGTAGAAATTCCAGTGCTCTGGTGAATAGAAGTGGCAGGAAGAGAAGTTGCTATCTTATTCCTGATCCTAGAGGAAAAGATTTTAGTTTTTCACGATTGACTATGATGTTAGCTGTGAGCTTTTCATGTATAATCTTTATTTACTGAGGAGTTTCCATATATTACTAATTCTTTGAGTGTTTTTATTACAAAAGGTGTTCATCTGGCTCTGGAACCAGATAAATGTTGACCTGATAGAATGGATTGGAATGTCCCCTTCTGGTTTTTTGAACATTTTTGGAAGATTTTGCAGAGGATTGGCATTAATTCTTCTTGAAATGTTTGGTAAAATTTTCCAGTGAAGTTATCTGGACCTGGAATTTTCTTTTTGGTGGGGTTTTTGATTACTGGTTGAATCTTCTTACTAGTTACAGGTCTCTTTGGATTTTTTATTTCTCCGTGATGCAGTATGCTGGTTTGTGTTTCTAGGAATTTATAAATTTATTCTAGGTTGCCCAGTTTGGTGGCATATGGTTGCTCACATTAGTGTCTTGTAATCTTTTTCATTTCTGTGGCATGTGTTGTACTGTCAACTCTTTTATTTATGATTGTAGTATTTGAGATTTCTCTTTTTTTCTTAATATAGTTGTGAGTTTTAAAATTTTTATTGATCTTTAAAAAAACAAACTCAGTGTTTTTTTCCTTTTTTTCTGGTCTTATTCTGCTTATCTCTGCTCTAATCTGTTAATTTCTTCCTTTTGCTTGGTTTGTCATTAGTTTTTTTTTCCTTCTTCATGTGTAATGTTAGGTTATTGATTTGAGATCTTTCTTCTTTTTAATTTAAGAACCGGCAGCTATAAGCTTCCCTTTAGCAAGGGTTTGAGATCTTTCTTCTTTTTAATTTAAGCATCTGCAGCTGTAAACTTCCCTTTAGCACGGGTTTGAGATCTTTCTTCTTTTTAATTTAAGGATCTGCAGCTGTAAGCTTCCCTTTAGCATGGGTTTGAGATCTTTCTTCTTTTTAATTTAAGCATCTGCAGCTGTAAGCTTCCCTTTAGCACTGCCTTTGTTGCCTCCTCCTGAGTTTGGGTATGTCATGGTTTCGTTTTCATTTGCTTAAACATTTTTTGTCCTATTGTAATATAATTGTGTTGTTTTTAATAAAGGTAATTAATGAAACACATAATGAATTGTGCTTCTGTTTTTATAATATTTTAAGCATTCTTAACTCAGAAATGTAAATTTTAGAAAAAAATTCCAGGCCAGGCACAGTGGCTTACACCTGTAATCCCAGCACTTGAGGAGGCCGAGGCGGGAGGATCATCTGAGGTCAGGAGTTGGAGACCACCCTGGCCAACATGGTGAAACCTGTCTTTACTAAAAATAGAAAAAAAAATATATAAAAGTTAGCTGCGTGTCATGGCGGGTGCCTGTAATCCCAGCTACTCTGGAGGCTGAGGCAGGAGAATCACTTGAATCTGGGAAGTGGAGGTTGCAGTGAGCTGAGATTGCACCACTGCACTCCAGCCTGGGTGACAGAATGAGAGTCCGTCTCAAAAAAAAGAAAAAAAATTTCAGACATATTTATTTGTATTTCAATTTAGAAACTATGATCTCCTAAGTGTATTGACACAGCAACCTGACATAAAGATAAAGAATAATAAGCATATAACAAAACGGAAACTTGCAAATACCTGTTTTTTATTAATTTTTAATTATATATATTTAAAAATTGCCGGGTGCAGTGGCTTACACCTGTAATCCCAGCACTTTGGGAGGCTGAGGTGGGCAGATCACATGAGGTCAGGAGTTTGAGACCAGCCTGGCCAACATGGTGAAACCTCATCTCTATTAAAAATCAAAAAATTAGCCAGGCGTGATAGCATGCATCTGTATTCCCAGCTACTCGGGAGACTGAGGCAGGAGAATTGCTTGAACATGGGAGGCAGAGGCTGCAGTGAGCCAAGATAGTGCCACTGCACTCCAGTCTGGGTGACAGAGTGAGGCTCTGTCTCAAAAAAAATAAAAATTGTCTGGGCGTGGTGGCTCACACCTGTAATCGCAGCACTTTGGGAAGCTGAGGCAGGCAGATCACGTCAGGAGATCGAGACCATACGGGCTAACACGGTGAAACGCCATCTGTACTAAAAATACAAAAAATTAGCCGGGCGTGGTGGCGGGTGCCTGTAGTTCCAGCTACTCCGGAGGTTGAGGAAGGAGAATGGTGTGAACCTGGGAGGTGGAGCTTGCAGTGAGCCGAGATTGCACCACTGGACTCCAGCCTGGGTGACAGAGCGAGACTCTGTCTCAAAAAAATAAAATAAAATAAAGCTAAGGTGTGGTTGACACACAAAAATTACACATATTTAATATATACCTTGTGTGTGTGTGTGTGTGTGTGTGTGTGTGTTACGGAGGTTTTACTCTTGTTGTCCAGGCTGGAGTGCAGTGACACGATCTCAGCTAACTGCAACCTCCGCCTCCCAGGTTCAAGCAATTCTCCTGCCTCAGCCTCCTCAGTAGCTGGGATCACAGGCGTGCGACCCCACGCCTGGCTAATTTTTGTATTTTTTTAGTAGAGACAGGGTTTCACCATGTTGGCCTGGCTGGTCTCGAACCCCTGACCTCAGATGATCCACCTGCCTCGGCCTCCCAAAGTGCTGGGATTACAGGCGTGTGACACCGAATATATACATCTTAATGAGTATAGGGATAAGCATTCGTCCCAGGTCTCATCACAACAAATAATGCCGTAAACTTGACAATCACTCCCCATATATTTCTCATTCTCACCCTTTTTAAAAAATGAGACTGGGAGTGGCGGCTCACGCCTGTAATCCCAGCACTTTGGGAGGCCAAGGCAGGTGGATCACGAGGTCAGGAGATCAAGACCATCCTGGCTAACACAGTGAAACCCCGTTTCTACTAAAAATACAGAAATTTAGCCAGGCGTGATGGCGGGCACCTGTAGTCCCAGCTACTCGGGAGACTGAGGCAGGATAATGGTGTGAA
Organism: Homo sapiens; assembly: GCF_000001405.40. NCBI lineage: Eukaryota > Metazoa > Chordata > Mammalia > Primates > Hominidae > Homo > Homo sapiens. The sequence goes on along the minus strand of NC_000022.11, from coordinate 12,785,904 downwards.
CTCGGGAGGCAGAGCTTGCAGAGAGCCGAGATCGTGCCACTGCACTCCAGCCTGGGCAACAGAGTGTGACTCCGTCTCAAAAAAAAAAAATGAGATGACCATTTCACATAAAATATACCCTCTTAAGTATTTTTTTAAGTGTACAATACAGGACGTCCATGCATCAGAGATATATGTGGGTTTGGTTCCAGACCACTGCAATAAAGTTTTATACAATTTCTTTTGGTTTCCCAGTGCATGTAAAAGTATCTTTATACTGTGCTGTATAAAGTGTGCAATAGCATATGTCTACAAAGTATGCACACTTTAATTTACAAATACTTTATTGTTAACAAGTGCTAACAGTCATCTGAGCCTTCAGAAAGCTGCAATCTTTTTTTGTGTTCGTGACAGGGTTTCACTCTGTGGCTCAGGCTGGAGTAATTGCAGCCTCAACCTCATGCTCAATCAAACCCCCACCTCAGACTCCTGACTAGCTGGGACTACAGGTGCATGCCACCGTGTCCAGCTAATTTTTGTATTTTCTTTTTTTGTAGAGATGGGGTTTTGCCATTTTGCCTTGATGTCCTGGGCTCAAGCAATCCACCCACCTTGGCCTCCCAAGGTGTTGGGATGACAGGTGTGAGCCACTGCACCTGGCCAAGTTTCAGTCTTCTTGCTGATGGAGGGTCTTACCTTAATGTAAGGTGGTGGTTGCTGAGCGTTGGGGTGGCTGTGGCAATTTCTTAAAATAAGACAACATTGAAGTTTGCTGTGTCAATTGACTCTCCCTTTCACAAAAGAATTATCTGTAGCATAAGATGATAGCTTTTTACCCACAGTAGAACTTTCAAAATTGGATTCAATGCTGTCAAAACTTCGTACTGCTGTACCAACTAAGTTTATGTATTATTGTAAATCATTGGGTTCAATCCTGTCAAGCCTTCCTTCTGCTGTACCAAGTTTATTCTAAATCTGTTGTCATCTCAACATTGTTTACACTATCTTCACCACGAGTAGATTTCATCTCAAGAAACCACTTTCTTTGCTCATCCGTGGAAGCAACTCATCCTCTCACTTTTTCTCCAGAGGCTGCTGCAGTCTCGCCAGATCTTCAGGCTCTGTCTCTGATTCTAGTGCTCTTGTTATTTCCACCATATCTGCAGTTACTTCCTCCACAGAAGTCGTGAACCCCTGTGTCATTAGTGAGGGTTGGAATAATCTTCCCAACTTCTCTGTCTTTCTTTTATTTTTTTGAGATGAAGTCTTGCCTGGGCTGGAGTGCAGTGATGCGATCTCAGCTCACTGCAACCTCCACCTCCCGTGTTCAAGCAATTCTCCTGCCTCAGCCTCCCAAGTGTTTGGGATTACAGTCACCCCCGACCAGGCCCAGCTAATTTTTTTTGTGTTTATAGTATAGACAGGATTTCACTATGTTGGCCAGGCTGGTCTCAAATTCCTGACCTCATGATCCACGTGCCTTGGCCTCCCAAAGTGCTGGGATTATAGGCGTGAACCACCAAGCCCAGCCCCAACTTCTCCTAATGTTGCTATTTTGATCTTCTTTTTTAAATCATGAATGTTCTCAATGGCATCTAGAATGGTGAATCCTTTCCAGTAGGTTTTCAATTATTTTGCCCAGATCCATCAAAGGAATCACTTTCTAGAGAAGCTATAGCTTTATGAAATATATTTTTTAAGTGATAAGACTTGAAAGTTGAAATTATTCTTTGATCCAAGGGCACCAGAATGAATGTTGGGTTAGTAGGCATGAAAACAATATTCAGCTCTTTATACATCTCTGTAAAAGCCGTTGAGTACCAGGGGCATTGTCAGTGAGCGGTAATACTTTGAAAGGAATCTTATTTCTTGAGCAGTAGTTGTCGACAGTGGGCTTAAGATATTCAATAAACCATAATTGTAAACCGATAGTCCGTCATTCAGGCTTTGTTCCCATTTGTAGAGTACAGACAGAGCTGTGTTTTATCATAATTCTTCAGGGCCCTTGGATTTTCAGAATAGTAAATCATCATTGGTTTCAAGTTAACATCACCAACTGCATTAGGCCTTAACAAAAGAGTCAGCATGTCCGTTGAAGCCTTAAATCCAGGCATCAACTTCTCTCTAGCTGGGAACATCCTGGATGGCATCTCCTTCTAGTAGAAGGCTGTTTTGTCTCCATTGCAAATCTGTTTAGTGTAGCCATCTTAATCAATTATCTTCTAGATAGCTTTCTGCAGCTTTTCCATCAGTACTTGCTGCTTTATCTTGCGCTTTTATGTTATGGAGATGACTTTTTTCCTTAAACCTCAAGAAACAAGTTCTTCTAGCTTCAGACTTTTCTTCTGCAGCTGCCTCACCTCTCTAAGTCTTCATAGAATTGAAGAGAGGCCAGGTGTGGTGGCTGTCACACCTGTAATCCTAGCACTTTGGGAGGCCGAGGCGGGCAGATCACCTGAGGTCGGGAGTTCGACACCAGTCTGACCAACGTGGAGAAACCCCGTCTCTACTAAAAATACAAAAAATTAGCCAGGCGTGGTGGTGCATGCCTGTAATCCCAGCTACTCGGGATGCTGAGGCAGGAGAGCTTGAACTTGGGAGGCAGAGGTTGTGATGAGCCAAGATCACGTCATTGTACTCCAGCTTGGGCAAGAAAAATGAAACTCTGTCTCAAAAACAAAGAAAAAAGTAAAAAGGTAGTTAGGCTTAGGCTTAATGGAATTTTTTTTATCTTCTATCTAGAACAATTAAACTTTCTTCATAACAGCAGCAAGATTGTTTAGCTTTTTATCATTCATGTATTCACTGGAGTAGTACTTTAAATTTCTTTCCAGAACACTTCCTTTGCATTCACAACTTGGCTAAGTGTTTGTTGCATGAGGTCTAGCTACTGGCCTGTCTTGCTTACAGCATGCCTTCCTCACTAAGCTTAATTATTTCTTCCTTTTGGTTTAAAGTGACAGACATACAACTCTTCTTTCACTTGAACATATAGAGGCTATTGTAGGGTTATTAATTGGCCACATTTTAATATTAATAAAAAGAAGCCTGAGAAAAAGAGAGAGAAAGAGAAATGGCCCGTTGGTGGGGCAGTCAGAACAAACGCATTTGTCAATTGTTTGCTGTCTTATCCTGGTGTGATTTGTGGTTCCCAAAACAATGAAAACAGTAGCATTAAAGATCACTGATTACAGATCACCACAACAGATTCAATAATAAAAAGCTTAAAATACTGTGAGAATGACCGAAATGTGACACAGAGACGTGAAGTGAGCACGTGCTGTAGGAACAATGGTGCCAGTCAGACCTGCTTATTGCAGGGTGGCCACAAACCTTCAATATGTAAAACACATGGTCACAAAACACAATAAAGCAAAGTGCAGTGAAACAAGATGTGTCTGTCTTTTGATAGACTCTGACAATCTCTATCTTTGAATTGGTACATTCATACCATTAGCATTCAAAGTGATTATTGATATCATTGGATTAATATCTACTATATTTGTTACTGTTTTCTATTCATTCTCCTCAGTCTCCATTCTTTTGTCTACCACTCTTTTTCTGCCTTTTGCAGTTTTCATTGATGATTTTAGATGACTACATTTTCCCTGTCTTTCTTAGCATGTACTTCTCTTTTTAAAACTTTTTTTAACTAGTTGCCACAGAATTTGCAATATACATTTACAACCAATTCAAGTCCACTTTCAAATAACACTATCCAACTATCCCACAAATAAGACTACCTGCTTAACAAACAAAACACCTAATTCCTCAGTAACATTTACAACCAATGCAAGTCCACTTTCAAATAACACTATCCCACTATCCCACAAATAAGACTACCTGCTTAACAAAGAACACACCTAATTCCTCAATATACATTTACAACCAATTCAAATCCACTTTCAGATAACACTATCCCACTTCACGGGTGACTACCTGCTTAACAAAGAAAACACCTGATTCCTCCCTCCCATCCTTCCATTCCATTCCTTGTATTATTGTTCCTTATTTCACTTGTGTATAAGCATACATAATCTATCTGTGTGTATTTATTATTATCTACAAACTTATTGGTCAGATCAATTATGAATAAATACATGTTTTTATTGTACCACAATTCCTCCCTCCCATCCTTCCATTCCATTCCTTGTATTAGTGTTACTCATTTAACTTGTGTATAAGCATACATAATCTATCTGTGTGTATTTGTTATTGTCTATGAACTTCTTGGTCAGATCAATTAAGAATAAATACATAGGTTTTTATTGTACCACAATTCTTTAATGCTCTTTTTTAAAAATGTTGATCAAAGTTTCAGTTATATATCTTTTGTTTCCCTCTAAAGAATTTCATTTAACATTTCTTGCAAGACAGGTCTCCTGGCAACAAGTTTCTTGAATTTTTATTTTTCTGAGGAAGGCCTTAATTTTCCTTCACTTTTGAAGGGTGTTTTCAGTGGGTACAGAAACTTAGGTTGGTGGGTTTTTCTCTGTCAACATTTTGAATTTTTCATTTCACTGTCTTCTTGCTTTCACAGTTTCTGCAATGTTGAATGCAGTTCTTATCTTTGTGTCTCTGTAGGTAAGGTGTTTTCTGCCCCACCTCTGGTTTCTTTCAGAGTTTCCCTTTATCTTTTATTTCATATAGTTTGAAAATTATATGTCCAAGTGTAGGTTGTTGACATTTATTCTGCCTGGTGTTCTCGGAGCTTCCTGGATCTTTGGTTTGGTGTCTGACATTAATACTGGAAGTTCTCAGACATGGTTGTTGCAGAACTTTCTTCTATTTCTTCCCCTCCTGGTATTCTCATTACTCTGTTTCACCTTTTGTAGTTGTCCCACAGTCTTGGATATCATCTTCTGTTCTTTTCAGTGTTTCTTTTCTTTAGTTTTCGAAGTTTCTGATGATAAATCCTCAAGCTCAGAGATTATTTACTCAGCTGAGTCCAGTCTACTAATAAGCCATCAGAGGTATTCTTCAGTTATTTACCACATTTTTTACCACTACATTATGTTGAAGGTTCTTACGATGTCTGTCTTTCTGATTACATTACCCATCTATACTTGAATGCTGTCTACTTCATTCATTAGGCCCTTAGCATATTCTCCAGAGGTTTAAAAAAATTCCAAAATCATATCTTTGTCTGCTTCTGAAGCTTGCTCTGTTAATACAAATTGTATTTTTTTTCTTTTTTTGGATTTTAGTATGCCTTTCAATTTTTTCCCTTTATTCTCATGCATGAAGCACCCACTAAAAGTGACTGCTGTTAGTATAGCTTCAGTAATGCGGTGATGAGGTGACAGGGCAGGTGATGCTCTCTTAGTCTTTTTAGGCTACTATAACAAAATACTTTAGACTGAGTAATTCATAAACAACAGAGATTATTGCTCACAGATCTGGAGGCTGGAAAGTCCAAGACTAAAGGGGCAGGATATTTAGTGTTTGGTGAAGGACAAACATTCAGACACTCGCAACGACTATAGTGACAGCAGCAGTCTTCAGGAATCCTATGTGAGGGACAAACACTCAGAAGCCAGGTGGAGTGTTCCAGAATCCTATGTGAGGGACAAACATTCAGACCCCAGCAGCAGTGTTGTGGAATCCTATGTGAGGGAAAAACTTTCAAACCCTTGTAGCAGTGTTCTGCAATCCTATGTGACGGACAAAAATTCAGAACCTCGTAGCAGTGTTCTGGAATCCTATGTGAGGAACAATCAGACCACATCAGGAATGTTCTGGAATCCTATGTGAGGGACAAACATTCAGACCACAGCAGGAGTGTTCTGGAATCCTATGTGAGGGACAAACATTTCAAAACCTCGTAGCAGTGTGCTGGAATGTTATGTCAGGGACAGACATTTAGACCCTCGCAGCAGTGTTCTAGAATCCCATCTGCAGGACAAACATTCAGACACTCGCAGCAGTGTTCTGGAATTCTATGTGAGGGACATTCAAACCCCAACAGCAGTGTTCTAGAATCCTATGTGAGGGACAGACGTTCAGACCCCAGCAGCAGTGTTCTGGAATCCTATGTGAGGTACAAACATTCAGATACCAGCAGAAGTGTTCTGGAATCCTATGTGAGGGACAAACATTCAGACCCTCGTAGCACTGTTCTGGAATCCTATGTGAGTGGCAAAAATTCAGACCACGGCAACAATGCTCAGGAATCCTATGTGAGGGACAAACATTCAGACCCTCGTAGCAGTGTTCTGGAATCTTATGTGAGGGACAAACATTCAAACCACAGCAGCAGTGTTCTGGAATCCTATGTGAAGGACAAACTTTCAGACCAAAACAGGAGTGTTCTTAAATCCTATATGAAGGACAAACATTCAGACCCCAGGAGCACTGTTTTGAAATCCTATGATAAGGGCAAACATTCAGACCCTAACATGAATGTTCTGGAATCCTATGTGAGGGACAAACATTCAGATCCTTGTAGCAGTGTTCTGGAATCCTATGTGATTAACAAACATTGAGACCACAGCAGGAGTTCTCTGGAATCCTATGTGAAGGACAAACATTCAGACCCCAGAAGGAGTGTTCTGGAATCCTATGTGAAGGACAAACATTCAGACCCTCATAGCAGTGTTCTGGAATCCTATGTGAGGGACAAACATTCAGACTCTCCCAGCAGTCTTCTGGAATTCTATGTGAGGGACATACATTCAAACCCCAGCAGCAGTGTTCTGGAATCCGATGTGAGGGACAGACATTCAGACCCCAGCAGCAGTCTTCTGGAATCCTATGTGAGGGACAAACTTTCAGACCCTCATAGCAGTGTTCTGGAATCCTATGTGAGGTACATTCAGACCCTCATAGCAGTGTTCTGGAATACTATGTGAGGGACAACCATTCAGACCATGGCAGTTCTGAAATGCTATGTGAAGGACAAACATTCACACCCTCGTAGCAGTGTTCTGGAATCCTATGTGAAGGACAGACATTTAGACCCTCGAAGCAGTGTTCTGCAGTCTTAAGTGAGTGACAAAAATTCAGACCCTCGTAACAGTGTTCTGGAATCCTTTTTGAGGGACAGACATTGAGACCCCAACAGCAGTGGTCCGGTATCCTATGTGAGGGACAAACATTCACTCCTCACCAACAGTGTTCTGTAATCGTATGTGAGGGACAAGCATTCAGACCCCAGCAGCAGTGTTCTGGAATCCTATGTGAGGGACAAATATTCAGACCACAGCAGGAGTGCTCTGGAATCCTTTGTGAGGGACAAACATTCAGAACCTCGTAGCAGTGTCCTGAAATCTTATGTGAGGGAGAGACATTTAGACCTTCTCAGCAGTGTTCTGGTATCCCATGTGAGGGACAAACATTCAGACCCTCCCAGCCGTGTTCTGGAATTCTATGTGAGGGAAAGACATTCAAACCCCAGCAGCAGTGCTTTGGAATCTGATTTGAGGGGCAGACATTCAGACCCCAGCAGCAGTGTTCTGGAATGCTATGTGAAGGACAAACATTCAGACCACGGGAGCAGTGTTCTAGAATCCTATGTGAAGGACAAACATTAAGACTCTCATAGCAGTGTCCTGGAATCATATGTGAGGAACAACCATTCAGACACCAGCAGAAGTGTTCTGGAATCCTAGGTGTGGGAAAAACATTCAGAACCTAGTAGCAGTGTTCTGGAATCCTATGTGAGGGACATACATTCAGACCACGGCAGCAGTGTTCTGGAATGGTATGTGAAGGACAAACATTCAGACCCTTGTAGCAGTGTTCCGGAATTCTATGTGAGGGACAAACATTCAGACCACAGCATCAGTGTTCTGGAATCCTATATGACGGACCAACATTCAGACCCTTGCAACAGTGTTCTGGAATACTAGGTGAGGGAGAAATATTCACACCCTTGTAGCAGTGTTCTGGAATTCTATGTGACTGACAAACATTCAGACTCCAGCAGCAGTGTTCTGTAATCCTATGTGAGCGACAAACATTCAGACCCCAAAAGCAGTGTTCTGAAATCCTATGTTAAGGGAAACACTGAGACCCCAGCATGAATGTTCTGGAATCCTATGTGAGGGACAAACATTCAGACCACGGCAGGAGTATTCTGGAATCCTATGTGAGGAGCAAACATTCAGACCACAGCAGAAGTGTTCTGGAATCCTATATGAGGGATAAGCATTCGGACCCTCGTAGCAGTGTTCTGGAATCCTATGTGAGGGAGAAGCATTCAGAGCACAGCAGGAGTGCTCTGGAATCCTATGTTAGGGACAAACATTCAGAACCTCGTAACATTGTTCGGGAAACCTGTGTGAGGGACAGACATTTAGACCCTCGCAACAGTGTTCTGGAATCCCATGTGAGTGTCAAACATTCAGATCCTCACAGCAGTGTTCTGGAATTCTATGTGAGTGACAACCATTCAGACTCCAGCAGCAGTGTTCTGTATTCCTATGTGAAGGACAAACATTCAGAATCCAGGAGCAGTGTTTTGAAATCATATGTTAAGGGCAAACATACAGACCCTAGCATCAATGTTCTAGAATCCTATGTGAGGGACAGACATTCAGACCCTCGCAGCAGTGTTCTGGAATCCTAGATGGGGGACAAACATTCAGACCCCAGCAGCAGGCTTCTGGAATCCTATGTGAGGGACAAACACTCAGAGCCTTGTAGCAGTGTTCTGGAATCCTATGTGAGTGAGAGTGCCTGGAGCCTACCCAACCTGACGCCCCCAAAGCCCTCACAGGGTCTGACCTCCCAGCATGCACCTGCCTCTCCCTGAACCCCAACTGCCCACCCTGCCTGTTCCCTGGCCTCCTTCATCCTGTGCAGCCCATAGACTGTGACCATCTCTGCAGCCACTCTGGCCCTTCCTTTACCTTTTTCCTCTCAGAATCTCTGAGCAGGATCTCCCAGGTCCATCCAAACACGTGCTTTGTCCACTTTTGACTAGGCCCTTGGGCATCACTGGGCTATCCCAGCTGTCCACAGGGCCTTCAATAATGCACATTGCACCTGGCTTATCCAAGCAGTGCTCAGCAGCCCACATTGACCAGGTCCCTGCTGACCAGACCCCGCACATCAGGTCATCCCTGATGACACACTCACTGATTAGACCCTCATGACCAGGCCCCACTAACAAGGCCCCCACTGCCAGGCACACAATGACAAGGACTCCACTGACCAGGACCTTACTGACAAGGCCTCACTGACAAGGCCTCACGGACCAAGTCCTTACTGACAAGTCTTCACTGACTAGGTCATTATTGACAAGGCCTCACTGATCAGGTTCCACTGATCATGACCTCATTCCCTGGCCCCAAAGATGAGGCCCCACTGACCAGGCCTCCAGGGAACAGGTTGCCACCGATCAGGCCCCTAATAACCAGGCCTAAGGTCACCAGATGCCCCTGACTGGGACCCTAGTGAGTAGACCCCACTGAACTGGAACCAAATGCTGAGATCCCCGCTGACCAGGTCACCCTGTAGAACAGTGCTACAAAAGTCACCACTGACCAAGTCCTCTCTGACCAGGACGCTACATATTAGGTCCCGCTGACAAGGCTGCCCTGACCAGGGCCCCACTGACAAGGGCCTCACTGATGAGGACACGCCCACCAGGGTCTGCTGACTAGGTCCCATGTGCCCAGTCCTCCACTGAATAGCACCCCTTGACCTTGTCACCGGTGCCCCAGCCCATGCTGACCAGGCCAGCACTAAGCCCCAGCTGACCAGGTCTCCACTGATC
>NC_000022.11:12691730-12726204 GCF_000001405.40 Homo sapiens | reverse complement strand
GATCCATAAGCTCATATGAGCGTGCAATGTCAATTTTTTTCATGTTTTTTTAAGTCCACTTAAATTCTATTTTAAGCCACCATCTGCCTGTGCTGTTAGGGCAGTTAGCCCTCAATCATTTTAAGATGCTCCCCTCTAAGTACTGTGATAGTGATAGAGATGTCACCAGTCAAGTGTCCTAGGAAGCCGACTCCGAGTTGGAGATTTACATGCAAGGAGGTTGAAATGATATTCCCAACATCTGTGGAAGAGCGAAAGCAATAGGATTGGGTGGAGCAGGAAGTCGGCTGGAATGCAATCACTATCATGGCCGCAGTGCACTCTACAGGGATCTTGGTGAGTTTACCTAATGACCTCAAATTGGAGCAAGCAAACAAGGCCATTATATTTCTGTACCAAGCAGTTCTCGGATGTGGGATGCCTTGAGAAGGGACATGGATTTGGATGAAGGAACTTTACTGTGCTGTGAGTATTGTTGACAGGAGTCAGCTGTCAACACTCCCAGGAGAAGGGGAATTATGCTTTAGTCACTGAGGCGGCATCTAGTGTCAGACCACAGCCTTGTTAAGCAGAGCCAGAATTTGGAAGATGGATGGTGGGTTTAACATTTGGGGCTTGACATCTTGCCCCCACAAGCTGCTGCTGGCCTCTTCCTTGTCCATTTCTGTGTGGCTTGTTTAGGCCCCCCAGCTTCCTGCTTCTTCTTTACCATATTTGGAATGCAAAAATCTACACGTAATTTGGCCCATGGTCCCTTCTGCTTAGACATATCCTTGTAGCTATTTTTTTTAAAAGATGACTATGCCTTCTAGAATATTTGAAGAAACTGCCGAAGTCACCACTGCTCACCAAGAGGCCTTCGTTTTTTCCTCTTCTTAACCATGGGAAAGGAATGTAGGAGTGTAGGGAGTGGATATTTTCTAACCTGGAAAAAACTCATTTTACCCTATATAATTTTTTTAGCAAATTCCTTCTTTGCCCTTACTCCACAATCTTTCCAAATTCTCCCAAATGCTCAAGCTTTTAAAAAACAAAAGACAGAAAAGATAGCAAGTTATTAGTTTTTCCAGCAAACCTTTTCTTTCTATTCGTTTACATCAGTGAGCTTAGAATAACTCTGCTTCTGGAACTGGGAAAGGGACTTGGGAAAAGAAAGAAAAAAAAAGCTCTCAAAGTTTAACATCACAAAACATTATAGTCATTGCTATTTTATTATTTATTTATTTATTTATTTATTTTTGAGATGGAGTCTTGTTCTGCCACCAGGCTGGAGCGCAATGGTGCGATCTCGGCTCACTGCAACCTCCGCGTCCTGGGTTCAAACGATTCTCCTGCCTCAGACTACTGAGTAGCTGGGACTACAGACGTGTGCCACCACACCCAGATAATTTTTGTATTTTTAGTAGAGATGGGGTTTCACCGTGTTGGCCAGGATGATCTCGATCTCCTGACCTTGTGATCCACCCACCTTGGCCTCCCAAAGTGCTGGGATTACAGGCATGAGCCACCGTGCATGGCCTTGCTTTGTAATTTTTACATCATATATCCCGTGTTAGACCAAGAGCTTGTAAAAGCCAGAAGACATACACCATTTATAGTTCAATTAGATGTTCACTGATAAAACTGATTCCTCCATCTGAGGGTGGTATTTGTAGTTACAGTAATGTAGATGACAATCTAAGTTATGTTCTATAAACTGTGTCACTGACATCTCAATCTACAGCTAACTTTAATTTTTTAAAAGCAGAGGAGTGGGTTGTACAGGTTTAGAAATACATCCATTAAGCTAGTTAAGTGAGATAGATTCAAACCTTCAACTCACTGGAATATTTACCAAATTGTCTATTCATTAGCTAAAGGAACCATATAAACAAGGTACTTTTCAAAATTCAAAATTATGTAAGGCTTTATTTCCCTTTTATGCTGTTACGAATTGGATTGTAGAGGTTATAAGGTAAAATAAGATTACTTTTACAGTAAAACATACAACACATTGTCACAAGAGGGCAACCTTTGAACATGAATTTATTCTCAGGCATTCCTTGAAATTTTGAGACAGTTACTTTAATTAACACAACTAAATAATAAAACACTACAGAAGATTTAAGAAGATATTTTGACTTATGCATATTGTTACTTTTTTATTACTGTTAGTGGAAGATGTAATCGATAAGGAAGGTAAGGGCTGAATTTGTTTTATCTAAAAAGACAAATTTCTTTGGGTTTTAACTTTCAAACATCAAGATAGTAGGTCAATGTCTAAATGAGTGTATCAAAGTTCTCACACTAGCACATGTAAATCCACCTCTTATCTACCCAAAACTCTAACCAAGCAAAGGCAAGTTGGAAGAATCAGACAAATGTAAGTGCCTAGGATACATAAATGCCACTGGATTTTATGTTTTTAACTTTCAACCTCCCAAGTTTCAGTAAGAGACATGTTATTTGGAGAAGTTGCTAAAGTGTAGTTGTATGATGTCTCTGTGTACGGTTAGTCTGGACCTCTTTCTGTCCGGTGGTTGCCCTCAACTGATTAGAGTCACCTCTCTAAAGACCATGCTTATGTCCCTGGAGCAGTCCACAGCACTAGCAATATCTGATCTCCACCTTTTTCCAATTAATATTTCTGTACTTACTGAATTGGAAAACATACAGGTGATTTTTTCCTGGTCACTTGTAGTTTTACAACACTCCCCCCACTTCCCCACCACTGCCCCAGGTTATTTTGATGCCAGCCAAAGTGTGAGAACTACTGGCAGCTGCTGGCAGACAGCAGCAAAGGCCCAAATCCTCGGTGTGATTTCAAGACCCATATCTGGTTTTCAGCCATATTTCCTTCTCCTTCTCACAGCTGAGCCCACTCCTCCTCCCTCACCACCTGTAGGCTATGCTTTCCAGCCTGTGTCCAGGATTAGTCCTGATGTAAGGCACGTGGGGTTTAAGGATCTCTCTCTTCAGTCTTATTTCCGCACCATCTCTGACAGATATATTCCAGTTGTGATCATGGGGCTACCTCCTTTTGTTTCCAGTCTCATGCTCTTTTTCTCTATCACATTCTACCTTGTAATAACCTAAGTCTTCTGGTGGGCAAGTTCTTCCTCAATCAAATTTGTGTTTATGATTGTGTTGGGGATTGGCTTAGTAATCCAGGTACTGCTACTGCCTTGAAAGCGGAGACTGCATCCTTCTGTCTGGATTTCTTGAGTTTCTGGATTGTAAACCTTATTAGGGCCCATTTTTCCTAGAATTGGAGCCTCTACTTTGTTCTTGCTACCTTAGTTCACCCAGAAAGCACGATCTCTGCCTGAATTTCAAAGGGTTGGCTAGTTTAAATATCCTTTTGTAAGACTTTTGTCTTCCTGTGGGGTGATTTTTTCATCTTACGTACCATTGCTAATCTTTTTATCTTGAATGTAATTGAAATAGTTTTAATCTGTGTTACCAGCAACAAGAACCCCTTTTATGAGATGGAGAGGCCAGGTCAGTCTCATAACATGTGTCCCCCTTCGTGTGTTGAATTTATGTCAGAGCCAGGTTCTTTCCTATTTGATGTCTCTCACCAAATTCCAGTGTTTATGCCCTAGGAGGTGCCCAATAAATTCTAGAGTTGATGCAAGCTGTAATTTTAGAGAAATTAAGTTAGCAAGTAGAATTAGATTATATACAATCTAATCAACTTTTTTCTTTTTTCTGAGGATGACCAAGATTTGGGCTTCAGTGACAATAGTTGTCCCCTAAATATTTATACTCAGAATCTAGGATTACCAGTACAATGTTGAATAGAGGTGATGAACACACACATTCCTTTCTTGTCCTAATCTATGTAGTTTAAATATTTACACTTTCACCATTAAATATAATGTTTATATGTCTTGTTGTGGATGCTTTCCATCACTTTGAGAAAATTTCCTTTTCTAGCTTGCTGAGAGTTTTTTTTTAAATCAGCAATAGATATTTCTCCAAAGAAAATATCCAAATGACCAACAGATACATGAAAAAAATGCTCAGCCTCACTAATCATCAGGGAAATGCAAATCAAAACCACAAAGAGATATTGCCTCAAACCTGTTAGAATAGTCTTATTAAAAGAAAAAGATAACGAGTGTTAACAATGGGGAGAAATTGGAACACTTCTACAGTGTTTCTGGGAAAGTAAAGCTGTGCAGCCTCTATGGAAAACAGTACGGTGGTTCCTCAAAAAAATTAAGAAACTAGAACTACCATATGATCTAGCAATCCACTTAAGGTTATTTCTCTGAAAGAATTGAGATTGGGATGATTCTCAGGCTCATTGCAGCATTATTTACACTAACCAAAATGTGGAAATGAGGTTAATGTCTATTGGCAGATGAATAGATAAAGAAAATGTGGTATATTCATACAACGGAATATTATTCAGCTTTAAAACAAGAAAGCCCGGCAATATGCAACATGGATGAACCTAGAGGACATTAATGCTAAGTAAAGTAAATCAGTCACAGAAGGACAAACTGTATGATTCCACTTGTATAAAGTATCTAAGATAGCCAAATTCATTAGAATCACAGATTAGAATGGTGATAGCCCTTTAAGTTGAAATCAATATTGCATTCCTGGGTTTTGTAGTTTTGCTATCAGGATTCTGACACATAAAAAAAGTTTGGAATTTCCCCCTTCTTTATTTCTGAAATAATTTAAAAATTTTATTTTTTTTAAACCTTTGAAAGAATTCACCAGCAAAACTCTTTGGATGTGGAGTTTGCTTATTTTTTTATTTCTTTAGTTTTATGTTTTTATGTGCAGGTATTTGACAATTAATTTAATTACTTTAATAAATGTCAATTACTTCATATGTTCCATTTAATCTTGTGAATTTTTTTATAAGTTTTTTTCAAGGAATTCACCCTTTCATCCAAGTAATGAAAATTAGTATAAAATGTTTCACAATATTCCATTATCTTGTTAATGTCTCTTTTTTCTACAACTGTACAGTCTCATTAATCCATGATATTTATAATTTATGTTTTCTTTCTTTCTCACAGAACTAACTTTTGGTCATGATGATTTTCTCCTGTTTCTGTTTTCTGTCTCATTGATTTCTAATTTCTGTTTTATTTCTTTTCTTCTACTTGTTTTGGACTTAATTTGCTCTCTTGTTTTAGATTTTCTTTTTAAGGTAGAAAATTAGTTCACTTGTTTTGAACTTCTCTTTTTTAGAATAAGCATTTATACAAAAAATTTACTCTGGGTCTGCTTAACTTTATCCCATACATTTTGATATAGTATATTTTTATTTGTATTCAGTTCAATGTATTTAAAGGTGTTTCTTATGATTTCTTCCTTGAGCTAAAGGGCATTTTAAGATGTATTTAAATCTTCCAATAGTGTAGACTTTCCTGGGTAGCTTGTTTTTACCCATTTCAACTCATTTTCATTATGGTCAGAAAGCATACTTTCTATGATTACAGTGTTTTGGAACTTCTTGAGAGATATTTTGTGGTCTATAGCCTATTGATAAATGTTTCATGTGTAGCATAATAGAACATATATTCTATTGTCTTGGTCAATATCGATTAGGTCAAGCTGTTGTCAAAATTATTTTATCTTAATTTTCTTTAGTTATTCTGTCAGCAATACAGCATTATGTCTTCATAATTACTTATTTTATCATTATGAAATAGCTGTCTGTTGTAATATTGCTTGTTTGGAGGTCTACTTTTTCTTATATTAATATAGCCACATAAGATTGCTTTTGCTTGTTGTTTCCTTGGTATACTTGGAAATTATTTTACTCTCAACTTATCTATACCATAATATTTGGCATGCATCTCTTATAGGTACTTTTATTAGCCAGTTGGACAATCTGTGTTTTATTTGGAGTATTTAAATTACATTTGAAATAATTATTGAAAAGTTTGGATTTAAGCCTACTATTTTTGCTTTTCTTTTTTTTTTTTTGAGACGGAGTCTGGTCCTGTTACCCAGGCTGGAGTGCAGTGGTGGGATCTCGGCTCACTGCAAGCTCCGCCTCCCGGGTTCATGCCATTTTCCTGCCTCAGCATCTGGAGTAGCTGGTACTACAGGCTCCCGCCGCCATGCCCGGCTAATTTTTGTATTTTTAATAAAGACGGGGTTTCACCGTGTTAGCCAGGATGGTCTCGATCTCCTGACCTCGTGATCCACCCGCCTCGGCCTCCCAAAGTGCTGGGATTACAGGCTGAGCCACTGCACCCAGCCTATTTTGTTCTTACGTTCTATTTGTTCCATCATTTTTTGCTCCTCTGTTCTTCTTTCATGCCTTTTTATATTAACTGAACAATATTCAGGGTTCCATTTTAATTCCTTTATTGGCATTTTAGAAGAATATCTTCATATAATGTGGTGGTTCTCTAGGGATTATAATAAATATCCTGGGCTTATCGCAGTCCACTTAGTATTAATAGTCAGCGTTTTCATGTAACATAAAGAAAAGTTGCGGCAAAATTGTTGCGTTTAGTCTTCTGTCAGAGCTATTAATTTAGAATATTTTACATACATTATCAATAGTACACTTAATTTTTTATTCAAACCATCAGTTGTTTGTTATAAAACTAAAAGAAAAAAGCCTTAGTTTTTCATGTTTATGCACATGCCATTCCTAGAGCTTCTCCTTGCTTCCTGTAGGTCAGAATTTCCATCTGTTGTTATCTTTCTTTAGCCTAAAAAATTTCCGTTTGCATTTCTTGTATCTAAGTCTGCTAATGACAATTGTTCAAAGCTTTCTTTTATCTGAATAAATCTTTCTTTTCTCAAGAATTACTTTTTCTAGTTATAGAATTTGGAGTTGACAGTTTTCTTTTATTTTGAAGATGTAGTTTCATTGCTTTTTAAAGTGTCATTTCTGATGACAGGTCCTCTGTCTATTTGTTTCCACGTATGTAAATTATTTTCTCCCTCCCTTTAGCTACTTTCAAGATTTACTCTTTTTTTGCCCAGTGGTTTGACTATGGTATGTCTACATTTGGTTCTCTTTATTTTTATTTTGTTCTTTGAGTTTCTTAAGCCTGTAAATTGATATATGCTGACAATTAGGAAAACTTTTGGTCTTTAGTTTTTCAAATAGCTTTTTCTGTCTGATTTTCTTCTCTACTCTTTCTAGGAGTCCAATTATATTAGTGCTAGACTGGCCCTATTTTTATTATTTTTCTTCCTTTGTATTAACTGTATTGGGAAATTGTTCTTGATCTGTTTTTAAGTGCACTGATAGTTTTTTCTGCCATCTTTCATTTACTGGTATATGCATACAATGACATTTTTATATAAGATATTCAGTCTCTCAGTTCTAAAATTTGTCCTGTTATCTCTTTATCGTTTTTACTTCTCTGTTGAGATTCTCCATATATTCCCTCTTATGACCATCTATTCCTTAAATCCTTGAATATGCTTGCAATAGCTTATTTTAAATTTCTTATCTTCTAATCCCAGCATGTGGGCCATTTCACTGTCTTAATCCATTGTTTACTTTTTTTGTTATGTGTCATATTTTCCTGGTTTTATGTCTAGGCAGGTTAAATTATATGTTAGATTATGTGTATGATATTTTGTAGAGATAGGTTCTTCTATTTTCGTTTGAAGAGTGACTCTTTTCTAACATTAGTCTTTTTTCTGTAGTCAAACACCAAACTTTCACTCCTGAGCTATATGCAATGGTTGAAATCTCTGCTCTTTACTAGCAATTTAGCTGTTGTTTTCTGCTGGATTCTATGGAGTCTCTTTTTATGAATGTGAAATGTAGCAGCCATCATATATCTGAATGAAGTTGAAGTGCTGATTTTAGATTTTTACTCTGTGACATTCTCCTCTGTGACTTTCAGTTGTGTGAGATTTCCTCCCATGTCATTCAAATTTCCCAGTTCTTCTTTTCTGTCAGCCTGGAACTCTGTGCTCTTATTCCTCAAGCTAGTAAAACTCACCACTTTACTCGTAGACATCTAATTTTGCACAGACTGGGAAGCGTCATGAGGTGTGAAGTTGCACTGATGCAAATTTAAATCATTGCAATTTTCTTTATTCAATGGTCAAATACTTCATCAGTGGTTGAATATTCTACTATTTCTGCCTGTTTTCTGTTTCTCATTGCCATCAAATGTGTATTTAATTTTTTTTACAGTTAATAGTTTTTTTCCCTGCATTTGAGTTAGACCTGAGCTACTACCACATTTTGTAATTCAAACTTTTTGTCTAACAATGTTTTAAAAAACTCTTTATTTGGAGGGAATTCTCAAATTTCTAAATACTCTACAAACATTAGGATCAGGGCTCACATTCCCAGTTTCCCTTGTAGCCAGATGTACATATGGAAAATGGCTTCAGCTAATGAAGCATACCCACATATTTGAAACTCAGAAAAGTGTTAAGAGGAACTGTAGATATCATTTTAGTTGATGCAAGGATGGAAAAAAATAACCAACTTTCACTGGTGAACTTTGTCTTCAATCATTGTTTTCCCATGGGTAAGTGGCTAATTTTCTGGCCTAGAGGTGGAATTGGTGTGTTGGTAACAATTGATTTGATGATAACCTGCTTTTGTCTTTTTAAAAATTGCTAATCCACCATTGTTTCTGGTCCTGTTTTTTACTTATGCAGTGTATAATCTCTCATGCAAAATTTAGTTCTTTGTTTCTCAGCTTAAACTGGATTTTGATGAGCAGTTTTCAACTTCAAATGAAAGAAATGGCTGTGGTTGATGTTAGACAAAAATAAAAAGATGGAGTTAAAGAAATATGTTTGTCATCTTGTAATATTAAATAAATGAAACTGAAAATTCAACAATTCTGCTTCATAAAAAAATAGAAATTTTCTACTGTTTTTCATTATTTTTGAAGCTATATGATTAAATGAAATTTCTGCCTCATGGAAGGTTTTTAGAACTATGTAATAATACCATACAGACCATTAGGAGAGAAATGAATAAAGACTGAAAGAAGTAAGCACCGTGTGGTAACGTAGATGGCACATAGTTGTGTGCATGGAGCCCTAATACATTTTACCATGCAATTTATACAATAAATGTTAGTTTCCTGTGAACCTGCTAATTAATATGACTTTCTCAAACATTTCCTTAACCTAAACAGTTTAGGTTTCCTGTAGATAGACTGCATGTATTCTCATCTTTAACCTTTCCATAATCTTCCCTAATTACAGATGTCATTGATTCTTAATAGCAAAAGAACAGCAGTAGCTTATAAAGTTATATTATTTGTTTTTTACTAATATGTGAAGTGATTTTGTCTTTCATTTCACCTCTAAAGCTAATTATGTCTTCTAAGTTAACAAAAATTCCAGATCATACCATCATTAGTTTAAACTTTACAATGAATTCATTCTTTCTGTTTATTACTAGCCTGCATTATAGCAATATTTAGCTAATGAATTCTCAAAATATTTCTTGAAAGGTGAAAGAGTACCTCAAGTAAATGGTGTAATTAATTTATTTATCAGAATTTTAAATTAAGTGTTCTGTTTAATCTCAAAGGGGTACCAATGAAGTTACGGCATAAGGAGTCCGTGGTTAATAAAATGGCAAGAATTAAAAAAGATTATTACATTTTTTCCTCATACTATGATGGCTATAATTTTTTAAAACAGTAGAAATGTTTAATTTTTAAAGGCTAATAGTGTCTATTTAATTCAAAGATGTGAGGTCTTCAGTTCAACTTGTTGTTTGAAATTTGAACAGCTTTTTCTTGCTGTTGTTCAATACAGTTATCAAACAGTCCAGGCAGGCCTCTGGAGTTACATATATGTATGTGGCTATGTGCGTATATATACATAGAAGTAGAAATAGCATATAATCAATTTACATAAGACTTTTGCTTTTGATGAAAATTCTTCTAAAAGTGAATATAAATTAATAGCATATGGAGCCTACAAAAATTGTCTAATAGGGAAGTAGGAAAATATAATTTGTGAAGAAAAAGTTCGCTAAAACAGACTTTTTATTTTTACATGTAATAACTTTATATTGAAGGGTTTCCAGAAATATAAAATATTATAGGGCACTTATCCTGAGACACACGAAGGAGACAAGGGATAGAGCTAGGATGGAAGTGAAAATAAAGGACAAATAGAGATAGATACTTAAGTGGAAATGAAACACTGCATGTTCTCACTCATAGGTGGGAATTGAACAATGAGAACACATGGGCACAGGAAGGGGAACATCACACACCAGGGCCTGTTGTGGGGTGGGGGAGGGGGGAGGGATAGCATTAGGACATATACCTAATGCTAAATGACGAGTTAATGGGTGCAGCACACCAACATGGCACATGTATACATATGTAACTAAACTGCAGGTTGTGCACATATGCCCTAAAACTTAAAGTACAAAAAAAAGTCATCAAACAGGTGGTAATTTTAAAACATGGCTTTTCCAGGCAGCAAATTTTCTGAATGTATCACAAAAGAAGATAAATTGTGTGTCTATATAGGTCATGTCAATGAAATAAACAATAAAGGTTACTTATTGGAATATTGAAAGTGGTTGATAATAAATTAATTATTTATATTTATGGTAAAAGCAATAAACTTGATTTTTAGGGGGTTCAATGACTTCCTGAAAATATCCTCTCACAGATTTTCTAACAGTGTCTAGTTGGCAAAAGCACAGCTCCAAATAGCTATTTCTGTCAACGTCTACAGAACATTTACAGTTCGATTTCCAAAAGTTTCCATTTCTACTGACCTTACAAATTTGTAAAATGAATGCCCACCAGGAAAAAATATTAAGTGATAAAATTAATTGGATCCTACAAGTGAAAATCTAGGCAAGGAAAATCTTCCTTCTTAATGAATGATTTTTATGTCTCTTCATTCTTGTCCTTCTAGGTAGAGCAACACTCTGGAGACCTTATTTTGAGGCATTTCACCACCAGAGTAAGTGTGATGTATGACTAATTAGTCCACCCACAGGGAGCTGGTGAAATTAAATTGGAAGTTATTTCCTAAGTGGCATATCTTGGAGTAAAATTCATCTAATAACAGCTTTCATAAGAGAACATAAGCTTAAAAGACAATATTTTTCATTCAACTTTACCAAACAAAGTTCAAATTTAGGTGTCCAGTTGTGAAGTTTGGTTGTGTGTGGATTGTACAGTGAAGGTACCAGTGGACAACAGTTGCTCATCAAGTAAGTTTATACAAAAGCTTTTGGACAAGTCCAGCTCTAGATAAAATTCTAAAATATTTCATGCTTGTGTTCAGAGTTTCTTTTTCTCTCTCCAAGGTAACACACATATCAAAAGACATATGGGTTGTGGGTAGAACTTCCTAAAATTGCTGGTGAGAAGTGTGCCATGCATAAACATACTTCACTAGCTTGAATTTTCTGTTAGTCTCACAGGAAACAATTACAATCCTGTATGTTTTTCTATCTCCACACACTCCTGAACATAGAAAGACCAAGTAACATCCCTGGTTAAGATGTGTACAGGTTACAAGACATGTCTAAATATATTCACCAAGAGGTTTATTATTTTCACAATGGCATTCACTAAATCAGTTGTCAGTGTAACATTACTCAAGGAATAAGTAGGGTCTTTAATTTATCAAAGGTTGTAGTCCACCCCAAGTTGGATCACTGAAGAACATAACTATAGATAAGGTCACTCAAAAGCACAAATCCAGGTAATAAATATTCAGTGGTAGTTTATATGCACTTAGCAATTTGAATGCTGGGAAATGTAGCCCAGAAAATCAATCGACATTGAACTATTAAAGAGGCATTCATGGCACCTGCACTTTGAATCTCTTCAGACTCAGGTTAAACAGGAGACACGGTAGCTCATGTATACTGCAAAAACCCTTCCTCTTTCCTTTTTTATCTATGAACCTGCCCTTTTCAATGTTATCTAGATGCCTGAAGGTATGAATACCCTTGATCTTAGTAAAAAATGGTACCACCCATCAGCAAAATCTCACTGATCAGTGTCTATGTTACCTCACTGAGTTAGCCTTTTGTGTTGTTGTGGCCCAGGATGACAATGTTGACAGAATCCAAACCAGTAGTTGGAAAGTTAATGTTGGATGCATCTTTGACAATTGATGGAATGACCTGAAATCAAATGTGAGGCAGTGGAGACACAAGAATGCTATTCAGGCAGTGAGTGATCTGTGGAGATACTAAATGAAATATCTGGAAGGAATTGTAATCTTGCAACTATGCTTTTATGTGTTTTTTGACATAAACAGTTTCTATTAATGGTGAAGCTGCAGTGTCCATTTCCCATGCAGTTCCCATAGTGTTAACTAATACAGTCATGTGTCACTTAATGACAGGGGTGTGTCTGAGAAATGCATTGCTGGACAATTTTATTATTGTATGAACATCACAGAGTTTACTTACACAAACCTAGATGCTATAGCTGATTACATACCTAGGTTAAGTGGTATAGCTTATTCCTCCTAGGCTACAAACCTGTGCAGCATGTTACTGTACTGAATACTGTAAGCAATTGTAACACAACAGTTAAGTATATCTATACTTATTTGTATCTATACAGTAAGTGTATCTATACATGTCTAAACATACAAGAGGTACAGTAAAAGTACAGTGTTATGATTTTATTGCACCACTGTCATACATGTGCACTATCCTTGACCAAAATGTTGTTATGTGATGCATGATTGTAACAAAAGAATTAATTAAAGATAATATTTAAGTGCCTATTGAGATTTCAATGAAGAAATGAATATTTGTAAATTCTGATTACCTTAAGTGGGAATTGACTTTCTTCCTGTTTCCATGGCTGTTCTTGTGAAAGAGCATAGCTTTCCAAAACCTGAAATCTCTGACAAATCTTGCAATTCTCTATTGCCTGCAGTATGAAGGTCACCTGGTATCAAATGATGCAAAATGGTAGATTATAAAGACCTGTACTTTCTTGTCAGTTCCTAAACATAGCAAGCATTGGTCTATCTTGAACATTTCTGCAGTTATAAACTAGCCTTGGGTCATGATTTTCTGCCTTTTTATCATAAACAAGATTTAATTTACGAGATGTCCTTTTAATGCGTAATGTGAATAGTAAGTGCCACTTATGAAGCCCTATTTTCTTCCAGCATTTTAATTGTCAAATCTGTCCAGTCAAGATGCATTGTTAGAGGCTTCACTGACAACACGTCTGTGTGTGTGTGTGTGTGTGTGTGTGTGTGTGTGTGTGTGTTTGTATATACATATGATTGAGCAGGATTTAATGTAAGTCAAAACAGTCTCAAATTTCTTAGGACAATACCGCTTCCTTGGCCATTCCCTTGGAGCTCTGAGTTGAGGAGCTGGTGATGTGTATTTCTTTTGCATGTTCTCCACATTATCCCTATGCAGACCTTCCATGGGCTTGGTTTTTGAACCAGTGATGAGGAAGATCATTAGAATTGTTTTGCTCAAAAAGATTCCTCCATTCTTCTGTATAAGCAATGGCAATTTTCCCAGGCCAATATTTCTTCTTTTGAAATGGTAAATTTTGAATATTAACTGGTTAGTATAATCCCATAAAATAACAAAGTTTGAGCCCTATGAACTGTGTTTTAGGCCAAAGTTGTGTTTTATGCTAAATCATCATTTACTCCTTGTATGATCTTTTTTTTTTTTTTTTTGAAACAGAGTCTCGCACTGTCACTCAGGCTGGAGTGCAGTGGCACAATTTTGGCTTACTGCAAGCTCCGCCTCCCAGGTGCACACCATTCTCCTGCTTCAGCCTCCTGAGTAGTTGGGACTACAGGTGCCCACCACCACACCCGGCTAATTGTTTTTTAAGATTAAGGGTGAAATCAAAGCTGCTCCCCTATATTACATTCATAAATGAGAATGATTAAAGCAAGCTATTTATTTATTAGAAACACATACTCCAAATTAAGCATCTAAGACATGACAGCCTTTCAAGAGACATCAATTTACTTTTTAGGGTCTATAGCTATATTTGTATTCATGTTATTGGTGTCCATAATATTTCATTAGATGTTCTGGGTAAATTGATAAATGGAAATAATGTATGTGATAAGGAGAACAACCTAGGCCTCCTGGAGGGCCCCTTACAACTCAGCTGGTGTTAGCAGAAATGCCTGGGTGTAACAGTGAGAAACAACCTTTCAAAAGTTTTGAGCAATTTTTCAGGCAGAGGAATATGTATACCAATCCAGGCAGCAAGATAAGTGGAGGTCAGTTAAAAGATCAGTGTGTGATTACATTTCATTTTTAGGTTTCTACTGAGAGGAAATATGACACTCAGTTATTATTTTCTCTGCATACCTCTGGTTATTTTGTCACAACCTTTTATGTAAGCTACTACCAAACACTGGGTTATCCAAGATCTATGGGTCGTATTCAATATTTCCTTTTCCCTCAACTATTAACACGTTTGATTCCCTTTGGAACTTTCTCCCCTATTTCTCCTTTCAACCTATTTTCTCCAACCACACTGAGTTAATAAGCCTCTTATATACTCTCATACCCTGTTTTATCTAAAGAGATTTCCTTTTTCTACTATTATACCCACCTCATTCCCTAATTTATTTCTTCTTATTTCTCTCTCTATTTTTCATTCTTTTAGGCACAGCTCATGTCTCATGACTTTCAATAAGTTTTTCTTCTGATATTCCCAGCTCGAATTAGGTACATCCCAATCAGTTTCCTTAGACTTACAAGTCTGCATATTATTGGCTTGCAATCTGTCTTAGGCTGGGAATTAGCTCCTTGTAGGCAGGGGCTAGAATTTATTTTCTCTTATGTCCATAATGCCTGACACAGGAACTATTCTCACATACAAATTGTAGGGCCATAATGCCTGAGAACATATGTATATTGTAGTGACTCATAAAGGCTTGAAATAAATTTTTAAAATGATTAATTGGGAAGTCCATGAACTTGACATCTTGATGTAGAAGAAAAGCAAGGGCAGATGAAGAAGTTATACAGGATACTTGAAATACCAGAAGAATATAATCAGAGAGCAATAAATTAATCCTAGATTTTTAGATGTGAAGAAGTTCTGAGAAATATTTGAAGACATGGCTCTAGGGATGAGTACATAACAGAGACCATTAGCCAGATTCAGAGCTTTTCAGAGTGAAGAAATTGCTTTGCAGGGGGAAGGACTGTTGTATACTAAATAGAATTTGTCATTAAATGGAAGACTAAGCAAGAGGCTGATGATCTGTGGATGAGAGACGCAAAAAGGTGTGGAGATAGAGGTAAATGCCATAATCTACAAAGAAGATATTTTTGAACCAGAAAGAAATAATAGGTCTAGAAAGTAATAAAAGATAAATAGTTAACTACATTGTAATGTGGTCTGAGAACTCACTAAAGGCATAACCATTGATATTAACTTCCACTTTGCTTCCAGACAAAATATTTTAAATATCTTAAAAATTGCATTTGATATTATATGATTCATCAAGACAGAAAGTAAAGCTGTAGTTGCCCTGGGAGGGCAGGGAATGGGGAGTCACTTTTTAATGGGTGACAAAAGACAAAAAGAATTATGGAGATGGGTGGTGGTGATGCTTGCACAACATTGTGAATACGTTTAATGACACTGAATTGTATACTTAACAGTGGTTAAGATGCAAATTGTTGAGTGTGTTTTGCCACAATTAAAAAATGGAAAACAATAGTATTTGAAGATATGGCCCATTTCATCTGGTAGCTAGCTGTATGTGTCTGCTCAGCTGTGGATAGATATTTATGCTGTTTCTGAACTGGAGGTTACTGGTATTCTCTAAGGTATAGGAAAATTGATCTTATGTGGCTAACTGAGGTGGATATAGTTGTATCAGTCAGACAGTAATGATATAATCATGATAGTTTACATTTAACACAATTTACATGTGTTATACTTTAGAAAGCACTTCATAGATATTATTACTTCATACCATTTTCCCCTTACCATATTTGTCTCTCCTTTCTCTGTTGACTTCAGAAAATGTCTCTTCCACACTACTCAATTCATCTCCTTATTTTGTCGAAATTTTAAGTCTCAGAGTCTCCAAAAAAAAAACTCCAGACAAGTCTCATCAGCTTTTGGTCATTGATTAATCGATGCCCTTAGAGGCTTTCCCTTCCCCTTCTCAATTTAACATAGCTTCCAAATACACTTGCCAGTAAAACAAAGTTGTTTATATGGTTTTGTATTTCTTCCTGTTGAATTATGAACATTTTTTCATATTGACATTGATTTCCATCTGGCCATGAAATACTCAAGGTGAAGAAAATGAAACAAAATTGTTAATATTTATCAAGAGCCAGGTACTGTTTTCAGTGTCCTAGAAGCATAAACTAGTGTAATGCTCACCTCTCATATGAGAGGCAATAATGGATGAAACTATAAGACCAAGACACAGAGAGTTAAGGGAAATTTCCCAAGATCACACAGCCACTGAGGATATGAACTAGATTTTGACTTCAGGCTATTTACCCCAGAACCTGTGCTTTCAGCCGTCATTTGTACTGCTTCCCTAAATTACACTTGAGTACACTGTGATGTAAAATTTCACCCAGGACACTGATTATCTGGGGAACTTTGCAACTTATTCTGAATATGACTCAGTTTTCTTTTCTGTACAGAGATAAAGTCAGTATATACTCCATAGATTCTTTATAAGTATTATATGAAATGACACATGAGAAGGCTTTAAAAGGACTTGGAAAGCAATAAGTTTTTTGTTTTCAATCATTTTTCAATAGGTTATCAGTGTTGTGAATGGTTCATGAAAAATGACTTTGGGCTCAGTGAGTAACTGAAATGTTGTTGCCTAATAGTGTGTTTAATATTAATATAATAGTAACAAATGTTATTGTTGAGTAATAGTTATTTGGCTTTTCACTGCTTTTCTTTTCTAGTGTTTTAGTCAGAGACTTCTTAAGTCTCCTCAAGTGTGTACACATTTCTTAAATTTGTTGGAAAGTACCAAATATAAGATATCTTGCATTTTTTTTCTTCCTTAGTAAACACTAAATTCCATCACGCAGCAGAAAAAGGGCTCTGTTATTGTCGGTACAATGGTTTAATATTCACTTTTATTCCCTGTATTGTAGTTCTGATTTAATTGCTATTTAGAATAAAACTTGTTCCTTATTATATGCATTCATAATTATAAAATTTGTGTTTTAATGCCTTCTACACATATACTGTGCTTTTCTTTATTTCCTTATATCTTTTACTGTTTCATGATCCTGGTATGTGAAATCTCATTAAGTGTTGTTGGGGGATTTGCTGGGAATCTCATCTACATAGTAATGTCTCAAGTTTGTAGCATCTTTAAAACATAATAGGAGATGGAATTCACAACAGAGTAATAAGCCTCCCGCTTTAGGCAATATATTTGTGATTGGTATGACTTTGTTCCCAGAGGGCAGTTAGCAACACAATATTATGGCTATGTGTACAAGGAAAACAAATTTTAAAAATCTCCTTTAAAAAAAACAGTTCCCAATCCTAAACAATATCATGCACAGAATCCGTTTCCACCTCTTCATATGGAAGCAGCTCTGGGTGGACATCTACAAAGTTGGATAACTATTTATCACATATGATCTGCAAAGGGAGAGATTTACAAGAAAGTGTTAAATTTAATCCATAGGAAAGCAAAATGAAAAATCAATGAATTTTCCATTTGTAGTTTTCCCTAGGGGCTCTACTCCCAAGATGGCTTAAATGCGTTAGAATTAAATGACTAGGCACAATTGTTTGTTAGTGACATAAAAGCAAGGTAAGCTTTTCTGCTTTATGAGTCCAAGCACAGGGACACTTGGTTTTCTTTGGAAGGATATCATAAAGGCAATGTTTATGAGTAATCCCTCATTGTCTTTTCTTCTATAGCATTCAATGGTA
Organism: Homo sapiens; assembly: GCF_000001405.40. Classification (NCBI taxonomy): domain Eukaryota; kingdom Metazoa; phylum Chordata; class Mammalia; order Primates; family Hominidae; genus Homo; species Homo sapiens. The sequence goes on along the minus strand of NC_000022.11, from coordinate 12,708,355 downwards.
TGTACTATAATTTAGAAATGAAAACTACTTAAAGACCACTTGCTAAGTTTCATGTATTTCAAATTCTCAGATCCTGAGTGTTTAAATTATGCCTATATTTCTTCATAAAAAAACACAATCTTTGCCAAGTTAGAAAAAGAAAAAGTCATATTCCCATTTTTAACTCAATGTAATCAGAAATTTGGACAGTTTTTAGCCTTCAATACATTATGTAATTTGGGTAACAGGCTGAATAAAAGTAAGGAACTTCAGTTAAATTCAGAGAGAAGCTAGTAATTATTTCTAAGACTCAAATATATGGAACAGATCTCTGATCTCTGATATTAAGGGTAAGACCCTCAAAAGTGACCCAAAATGTGTAATTGTGGGATTATTTTGGGAGGAATCATCATAGATTCTTACTGCTATAAATACAGTCAAATGTCAGATAAATATACTCCACTGAAATGTTTTCTAGGAATGATGTTGGAACCAATGTTGGTAATTTTGAAACTCATGGAGAGTGTTTCAGATGATAGAAGTCGGGCAACTATCCCAGGTTTAATAAATAAGCAAATGCTGAGTTCCAAAAATGCTGTATCAATGAGCCTCATATTGATCCTGAGCACAATTTCAGGAAGGTCCATTAAATGGGTCTTTTGAGAGCACTTAGGATAAAAGGCTGGCAGCAGGGATTCACTAAGAGCAATGGTGCCAAACTTGCCTCTTTGACATTGTTATCTGACTGATAAAGGTAGGCTATAGCAGTACACAATACAGATATTTCCAGGGTAAAGCTGTTGAGCTGCTGTAATTTTCCTTGCCTCTTCACTATCTTCTCCTATAGTTGACTCCCAAGGAAAAGATAGTTGACTTTTAATGTAGAAATGTATGTTAATTGGCAAAAACAAACAAATGAAGCCATAAACTATCCTTTAGGCTTCTCTCTGCTCAGTTATTAGATCATATGAATGTGCCCTTAGGAAACACAGAAGGTCCACACTATTATAGAGACAAATTTCTTACATTCTCTGCTGTTTAATGCTCTTCAAAAGACTTATCATACTTCACTAATTTGATTACCAACTACTTGAACACAGGAACAAATGTGCTTGTTAAAAATTTTGCATATTATGAGGGCATTAACTTTTAAGTATTCGATTGTTAAGACAATGCATATTATCATAAACCATAGAAGGCACACTTATTACCTCCTTAAGAACCAGTCTCTATTTCTCTGCTTCATAGAACTCCCACCTCATTGAGGGATTGGACATTTGTTTCTTCAATTGGCCCTCTTCAGCCCTAGGATAAATAGTGATTAATCTAAGCCAATGGTTTTTGGCTCTGTCTGAGCCAATGCCTCTACTTCATAAGAAATTCTTCAAAGACCCCTTCATTATTCTAAACTATTAGTGAGAACACAATGTATGCATTCAAGTTGTTGAAAATATTAATGTTATGCTGAAGCTAACAAAGGAGAAATAATTTACTGTCAATATATAATCCAAAATGTATATAATTGTGCCAGAACATTTACATATCAAATACAATAGAACATAATGAAATTTTCATATCTTCGCCCATACCTTGAAACATTGTAAATAAAAAGCCACAAATATAGTTTCATTGAATAACCAAATGCCAAAACTGCGATTTCTATTGTTGACATGATTGATCTGCATTGGTAAATGTAATAGATACTTTCTGTTTGCCCCTTGTCCCCTGTTATACTCCCCTATTTACTGGCTTTTGTCCAAGTGGAATGGTCCATATTGAATATCTCAATCGGTTCTCTTGCTCATTGCCTTCTACGCATGTTCATGAGATTAAAGGGAAGGAGGAAATGGGATTGGGGGTTATTGCCTAAACTCCCTCTCTGCCAGGTCTCCTTCACCAATCTTTTTCATACGAAAATTAGTTTTTCCTTGTGTGATCAGGGCAGTTTACTCCCCAGGACTCTGCCTGCCGCTACTAACCCAGAGATATTTTGGGGTGTGATTTCTGTGATTCCTTCACCCTTCTCCCCTGATATTTTCGTAAGTAGTCTCTTTGGAAATAAACCCATGTTAAATTATCTTAGTTTGTGTGTGTTCTCTTTTTCCTATTGAGACTCTGAAATGAGTATCTAAACGAAAAAATCTACCGTCTTTTCTCATATACATAGTAGTTTCATTCCTGCAAAATTCATGGCATATTAAAACCATGCAAAAGTACTTGGCACTAAGCAGTTACATTTGGGATTGTATAATTAAACAAAGCAGGTTATTCACCTTCATTACGTTAGAAAGTCATTCAGGACATACAGCCATCCTTGATTAGGAGCGGCTATCCCATGTTACTGGACTTATGGCATCCCTGTTTTCCAATCCTTAAAGTTTTTCCTTAAAGTTCCAAAATGCCGTCACTTATTCTTTCCTGCCATTGGATTTTTTCACATGAAGTTGTAAGGCTGGGAATGCCATATCCATCTTGAAAACATAGGTAGAAAGATAAGAGAATCACAAAGAAGTGGATCATGTTGAATTAACTAAACATTGATACCATCTATTTGTTGTGCGATTTGGTCAAAGTTGCTACGTATTTTTTTCTACAATTAGTTGACTATTCTGTTACTTGAAGCTAAAAACTTTTTTTTCTTTTTTTCTTCCTTTCTTTTTTTTTTTTTTTTTGACAGACCCTTACTCTGTTGCCCAGGGTGGAGTGCAATGACACGATCTTTGCTCACTGCAACCTCTGCTTGCCTGGTTCAAGCAATTCTCACACCTCAGCCTACCTAGTAGCTGGGATTACAGGCACATGCCACCACACTCAGATAATTTTTGTATTTTTAGTAGAGATGGGTTTTCACCATGTTTTCCAGGCTGGTCTCAAACTCCTGACCTCAAGTGATCTGCCCACCTCAGCCTACCAAAGTGCTGGGATTACAGGTGTGAGCCACTGACCCTGCCCAAAAACATTTTAGCCAATAGCACAGCACATTATTTCATTTAATTTTTTCAAAAGTTGCCAGTAATTTCAATTAAAAAATATTATATAACATGCTTAATGCAATACAAATGCTTTTCAATGTACAATGGGGTTAAGTCTTGATAAGCTGATCATAAATTGAAAATAGAGTCAGTAAAAATGTATTTAATACCTAACTTACTGAACATCACAGCTTAGCCTGGCATACCTTTAATGTGCTCAGAACACTTACATCAGCTGACAATTGGGCAAAATCACTGAACACAAAACCCACTTTATAATAAAGTATTGGATATTTTATGTAATTTGTTGAATATTGTACTGAAAGTGAAAAGCAGAATAGTTATATTCTATTCAAAGCTATCACTTTTACTTCATCATAAAGTAAAAAAAAAATAATAAATTGAACCATTATAAGTTGTTGACCATCTGTGTATATGTATGTGTGTGTGTACCTATATAAACATGTATGTTTATATATATATTTGTGTGCGTATATATCCTCGGTGTGTGTGTAAGTGTGTGTGAGTGTGTGTGTGTGTATGAAATTGTAGAAAAGTAATATTTCTTATCTTATAGATATAGCATGTTAGCATGTTGGTACCTATCTTCCTGAGATGTGAAATTTTACATGGATAGATGTGTACATTTACAGTTGTACACAAAGAGAAACATATTCTGTAGGCTCTTTGTTTTTCTGCAGTTTCATTCGACACTATCTGGTTTATATGGATGATTACATATATAATGCTAGGATGAAGGTTCTTCTCTATAACTTTGAAACTTCATTATCAACCCTTGGTATATTCTTAGAGTGGGATTTGATTTTAGAATTAAGATCCTTGTTTCAGGACTCTAGACTGTTAACACACAGAGCTAATAATTATTCAGAATGGTTGGGTTAGTTCACTTTCCCACAGATGAGACATCAAAAGTCCAGGCTGCACAGCCTCATTAACATTAGATTTTCTGGACATTTTATATAGTATTTCATCTGATATAAAAAGTAGAATTCTAATTTAATTATGGTTGTTATTTTATTTTTACCTTTTTAGTCATTATGAAAATGTTTAACTATATGAAAAGCCAGAAAAGGGTTTTTTTTTATGGTAGTACTTCAGAAGTATTTGTGATGCTTAATTTTTAAAAATTAACTCTAAAAGAATCTTGAAATGTCTGTTTAATAAAATAGGACATAAATACTGGTCACATTGGTGAAAAATATTTGTTTAAAATTAAAATATCTGCAGCAATCCTGTAGATATTAATAGTTTTTAAAGAATGACATCTTCAAAATATAACTGTTCTAAACTAATATGTCTCTATTAATACATATAGATACATATATCTAAATAAATCTGAAGACTTCAAATTCCAGGTACAATATAATTTTTTTCTATCCTGTGATTTGTCATTCAGGAATTTGTAATTTGAGCAGAAATATGTTGCCCTAACCACATGTCTGTCTTTTCTCTTACCTAAAAAATGTTATTTTATGTAAAATTGTTTTAAAGGTCAATTTGCATGTTTGAAAAGCATCTTGTACAATGTTTCATAATATATTGCATATTTGGTTACATTGTTTTAACTGTGTAAATATGGTTTAAATCTGTGATGCTCTTTAGTGCTGATCATGATGCAAATCAAATTTATCTGTATAAAAGGCCCCTGTTAATTTTTTTATTATACTTAAAGTTTTAGGGTACATGTGCACAACGTGCAGGTTTGCTACATATGTATACATGTGCCATGTTGGTGTGCTGCACCCATTAACTCGTCATTTAACATGAGGTATATCTTCTAATGCTATCTCTATCCCCTCCCCCAACCACACAACAGTCCCCGGTGTGTGATGTTCCCCTTTCTGTATCCATGTTTTCTCATTGTTCAATTCCTAACTATGAGTGAGAACATGTAGTGTTTGTTTTTTTCCCATGCAATAGTTTGCTGAGAATGATGGTTTCCAGCTTCATCCATGTCCCTACAAAGGACATGAACTCATCATTTTTTATGGCTGCATGGTATTCCATGGTGTATATGTGCCATATTTTCTTAATCCAGTCTATCACTGTTGGACATTTGGGTTGGTTCCAAGTCTTTGCTATTGTGAATACTGCCACAATAAACATACGTGTGCATGTGTCTTTATAGCAGCATGATTTATAATCCTTTGGGTATATACCCAGTAATGGCTGGGTCAAATGGTATTTCTAGTTCTAGATCCCTGAGGAATCACCACACTGACTTCCACAATGGTTGAACTAGTTTACAGTCCCATCAACAGTGTAAAAGTGTTCCTATTTCTCCACATCTTCTCCAGCACCTGTTGTTTCCTGACTTTTTAATGATTGCCATTCTAACTGGTGTGAGATGGTATCTCATTGTGGTTTTGATTTGCATTTCTCTGATGGCCAGTGATGATGAGCATTTTTTCATGTATCTTTTGGCTGCATAAATGTCTTCTTTTGAGAAGTGTCTGTTCATTTCCTTGGCCCACATTTTGATGGGGTTGTTTGTTTTCTTCTTGTGAATTTGTTTGAGTTCATTGTAGATTCTGAATATTAACCCTTTGTCAGATGAGTAGGTTGCAAAATTTTCTCCCATACTGTAGGATGTCTGTTCACTCTGATGGTGGTTTCTTTTGCTGTGCAGAAGCTCCTTAGTTTAATTAGATCCAATTTGTCAATTTTGGCTTTTGTTGCCATTGCTTTTGGTGTTTTAGTCATGAAGTCCCTGTCCATGCCTATGTCCTGAATGGTATTGCCTAGGTTTTCTTCTAGTGTTTTTATGGTTTTAAGTCTAACATGTAAGTCTTTAATCCATCTTGAATTAATTTTTGTATAAGGTGTAAGGAAGGGATCCAGTTTCAGCTTTCTACATATGGCTAGCCAGTTTTCCCAGCACAATTTGTTAAATACGGAATCCTTTCCCTAGTTCTTGTTTTTGTCAGGTTTGTGAAAGATCAGATAGTTGTAGATATGAGGCATTATTTCTGAGGGCTCTGTCCTGTTCCATTGGTCTATATCTCTGTTTTGGTACTAGTACCATGCTGTTTTGGTTACTGTAGCCTTGTAGTATAGTTTGAAGTCAGGTAGCATGATGCCTCCAGCTTTGTTCTTTTGGCTTAGGATTGACTTGGCAATGCAGGCTCTTTTTTGGTTCCATATGAACTTTAAAGTAGTTTTTTCCAATTCTGTGAAGAAAGTCATTGGTAGCTTGATGGAGATGGCATTGAATCTATAAATTACCTTGGGCAGTATGGCCATTTTCAAGATATTGATTCTTCCTACCCATGAGCATGGAATGTTCTTCCATTTGTTTTTATCCTTTTTTATTTCCTTGAGCAGTGGTTTGTAGTTCTCCTTGAAGAGGTCCTTCACATCCCTTGTAAGTGGTATTCCTAGGTATTTTATTCTCTTTGAAGCAACTGTGAATGGGAGTTCACTCATGATTTGGCTCTCTGTCTGTTATTGGGGTATAAGAATGCTTGTGATTTTTGTACATTGATTTTGTATCCTGAGACATTGCTGAAGTTGCTTATCAGCTTAAGGAGATTTTGGGCTGAGACGATGGGGTTTTCCACATACACAATCATGTCATCTGCAAACAGGGACAATTTGACTTCCTCTTTTCCTAATTGAATGCCCTTTATTTCCTTCTCCTTCCTGATTGCCCTGGCCAGAAATTCCAACACTATGTTGAATAGGAGTGGTGAGAGAGGGCATCCCTGTCTTGTGCCAGTTTTCAAAGGGAATGCTTCCGGTTTTTGTCCATTCAGTATGATATTGTCTGTGGGTTTGTCATAGATAGCTCTTATTATTTTGAGATACGTCCTATGAATCCCTAATTTATTGAGAGTTTTTAGCATGAAGCATTGTTGAATTTTGTCCAAGGCCTTTTCTGCATCTATTGAGAAAATCACGTGGTTTTTGTCTTTGGTCCTGTTTATATGCTGGATTACATTTACTGATTTTCATATGTTGAACCAGCCTTGCATCCCAGGGATGAAACCCGCTTGATCATGGTGGATAAGCTTTTTTATGTGTTGCTGGATTCGGTTTGCCAGTATTTTATTGAGGATTTTTGCATCAATGTTCATCAAGGATATTGGTCTAAAATTCTCTTTTTTTGTTTTGTCTCTGCCAGGCTTTGGTATCAGGATGATTCTGGCCTCATAAAATGAGTTAGGGAAGATACCCTCTTTTTCTATTGATTGGAATAATTTCAGAAGGAATGGTACCAGATCCTCATTGTACCACTGGTAGAATTCGGCTGTGAATCCATCTGGTCCTGGACTTTTTTTGGTTGGTAAGCTACTAATTATTGCCTCAATTTCAGAGCCTCTTATTGGTCTATTGAGAGGTTCAATTTCTTTCTGGTTTGGTCTTGGGAGAGTATATGTGTCGAGGAATTTATCCATTTCTTCTAGATTTTCTAGTTTATTTGTGTAGAGGTGTTTATAGTATACTCTGATGGTACTGATGGTAATTTGTATTTCTGTGGGATTGGTGGTGATATCCCCTTTGTCAATTTTTATTGCATCTATTTGATTCTTCTCTCTTTTCTTCTTTATTAGTCTTGCTGGTGGTCTGTCAATTTTGTTGATCTTTTCAAAAAACCAGCTCCTGGATTCATTGATTTTTTGAAGGGTTTTTTGTGTCTCTATTTCCTTCAGTTCTGCTCTGATCTTAGTTACTTCTTGCCTTCTGCTATCTTTTGAATGTGTTTGCTCTTTCTTCTCTATTTCTTTTAATTCTGATATGAGGATGTCAATTTTATTTCTTTCCTGCTTTCTCTTGTGGGCATTTAGTGCTATAAATTTCCCTCCACACACTGCTTTGAATGTGTCCAAGAGATTCTGGTATGTTGTGTCTTTGTTCTTGTTGGTTTCAAATAACATCTTTATTTCTGCCTTCATTTCATTATGTACACAGTAGTCATTCAGGAGCAGGTTGTTCAGTTTCCATGTAGTTGAGTGGCCTTCAGTGAGTTTCTTAATCCCGAGTTGTAGTTTGATTGCACTGTGGTCTGAGAGACAGTTTGTTATACTTTCTGTTCTTTTACATTTGCTGAGGAGTGTTTACTTCCAACTATGTGCTCAATTTTGGAATAGGTGTGGTGTGGTGCTGAAAAGAATACATATTCTGTTGATTTGGGGTAGAGAGTTCTGTAGATGTCTATTAGGTCTGCTTAGTGCAGAGCTGAGTTCAATTCCTGTATATCCTTTTTAACTTTCTGTCTCGTTGATCTGTCTAATGATGATAGTGGGGTGTTAAAGTCTCCCATTATTATTGTGTGGGAGTCTAAGTCACTTTGTAGGTCACTAAGGACTTGCTTTATGAATCTGGGTGCTTCTGTATTGTGTGCATATATATTTAGGACAGTTAGTTCTTGTTGAATTGATCCCTTTACCATTATGTAATGGCCTTCTTTGTCTCTTTTGATCTTTGTTGGTTTAAAGTCTGTTTTATCCGAGACTAGGATTGCAACCCCTGACTTTTTTTTGTTTTCCATTTGCTTGGTAGATCTTCCTCCATCCCTTTTTTTTTGAGCCTATGTGTGTCTCTGCACGTGAGATGGGTTTCCTGGATACAGCACACTGATGGGTCTTGACTCTTTATCCAATTTGCCAGTCTGTGCCTTTTAATTGAAGCATTTAACCCATTTACATTTAAGGTTAGTATTGTTATGTGTGAATTTGATCCTGTGATTATGATGTTAACTGGTTATTTTCCTCGTTAGTTGACGCAGTTTCTTCCTAGCCGTGATGGTCTTTACAATTTGGCATGTTTTTACAGTGGCTGGTACCAGTTGTTCCTTTCCATGTTTAGTGCTTCCTTCAGGAGCTCTTTTAGGACAGGCCTGGTGGTGACAAAGTCTCTCAGCATTTGCTTGTCTGTGGAGTATATTATTTCTCCTTCACTCATGAAGCTTAGTTTGGCTGGATATGAAATTCTGGGTTGAAAATTCTTTCCTTTAAGAATGTTGAATATTGGCCCCTACTCTCTTCTGACTTGTAGAGTTTCTGCGGAGAGATCAGCAGTTAGTCTGATGGGCTTCCTTTTGTGGGTAACCCGACCTTTCTTTCTGGCTGCCTTAAAATTTTTTCTTTCATTTCAACTTTGGTGAATCTGACAATTATGTGTCTTGGAGTTGTGCTTCTCTAGGAGTATCTTTGTGGCATTATCTGTATTTCCTGAATTTGTATGTTGGCCTGCCTTGCTAGATTGGGGAAGTTCTCCTGGATAATATCCTGCAGAGTGTTTTCCAACTTGGTTCCATTCTCCCTGTCACTTTCAGGTAAACCAAATAGACGTAGATTTGGTCTTTTGACATAGTCCCATATTTCCTGGAAGCTTTGTTCATTTCTTTTTATTCTTTTTTTTTTTTTTTTTTTTTTTTTTTTTTTTTTTTTTTTTTGAGACGGAGTCTCGCTCTGTCGCCCAGGCCGGACTGCGGACTGCAGTGGCGCAATCTCAGCTCACTGCAAGCTCCGCTTCCCGGGTTCACGCCATTCTCCTGCCTCAGCCTCCCGAGTAGCTGGGACTACAGGCGCCCGCCACCGCGCCCGGCTAATTTTTTGTATTTTTAGTAGAGACGGGGTTTCACCTTGTTAGCCAGGATGGTCTCGATCTCCTGACCTCATGATCCACCTGCCTCGGCCTCCCAAAGTGCTGGGATTACAGACGTGAGCCACCGCGCCCGGCCTTATTCTTTTCTCTCTAAACTGCTCTTCATGCTTCATTACATTCATTTCATCTTCCACCACTGATACCCTTTCTTCCAGTTGATCACATCGGTTACTGAGGCTTATGCACTTGTCATGAAGTTCTCGTGCCATGGTTTTCAGCTCCATCAGGTCCTTTAAGGACTTCTCCACATTGGTTATTCTAGTTATCCATTTGTCTAATTTTTTATTCAAGGTTTTTAACTTCTTTGTCATTGGTTCGAACTTCCTCCTTTAGCTCGGAGTACTTTGATCTTCTGAAGCCCTCCTCTCTCAACTCGTCAAAGTCATTCTCCGTCCAGCTTTGTTCCATTGCTGGTGAGGAGCTGTATTCCTTTGGAGGAGGAGAGGCACTCTGAGTTTTAGAGTTTCCGGTTTTTCTGCTCTGTTTTTCCCCATCTTTGTGGTTTTATCTACCTTTGGTCCTTGATGATGGTGACATATAGATGGGGTTTTGGTGTGGATGTCCTTTCTGCTTGTTAGTTTTCCTTCTAACAATCAGGACCCTCAGCTGCAAGTCTGTTGGAGTTTACTGGAGGTCTACTGCAGACACTATTTGCCTGGGTATCAGCAGTGGTGGCTGCAGAACTGTGGATATTGGTGAGCTGCAAATGCTGCTGCCTGATTGTTCCTCTGGAAGTTTTGTCTCAGAGGGGTACCCAGCCATGTGAGGTGTCAGTCTGCCTCTACTGGGGGGTGCCTCCCAGTTAGGCTACTCGGGGGTCAGGGACCAACTAGGGGGGGTTGTCTGCCGTTCTCAGATCTCAAGCTGCATGCTGGGAGAACCACTATTCTCTTCAAAGCTGTCAGACAGGGACATTTAAGTCTGCAGAGGTTATTGCTGTCTTTTGTTTGTCTGTGCCCTGCCCCCAGAGATGGAGCCTACAGTGGCAGGCTGGCCTCCTTGTGCTCTGGTGGGCTCCACCCAGTTCGAACTTCCCAGCTGCTTTATTTACTTACTCAAGCCTGAGCAATGGCAGGCTCCCCTCCCCCAGCCCCACTATTACCTTGCAGTTTGATCTTAGACTGCTGTGCTAGCAAACAGCAAGGCTCCGTGGGTGTAGGACCCTCCAAACCATGTGCGGGATGTAATCTCTTGGTGTGCCATTTGATAAGCCTGTTGGAAAAGTGCAGTATTAGGGTGGGAGTGACCTGATTTTCCAGGTGCCATCTGTCACCCCTTTCTTTCTTTGACTAGGAAAGAGAATTCCCTGACCCCTAGAGCTTCCCAGGTGAGGTGATGTCTTGCCCTGCTTTGGCTCATACATGGTGCGCTGCACCCACTGTCCAGCATTCCCCAGTGAGATGAACCTTGTACCTCAGTTGGAAATGCAGAAATCACCCGTCTTCTGCATCACACACGCTGGGAGCTGTAGACTGGAGCTGTTCCTATTTGGCCATCTTGGCTCCACCCTCTAATTTATGACATTCAAAAGATCAGATACATTTACCCTCTTCTGAATTTTAATTGCTGATGGAAAGATTGTGAAATCTCAAGAGGATAATGAATCAGCTTCTGATTATATTCTGGAATTACAATTTGATCACCCATCCAAGAATGCATATTCACTTTCCTTTACATTACACGCATGCATAATACCATGCTGAGTGATGCTGGAAAAAGTGAGTCTTCAGTAATGCCCTCATGAAATTACAGTCTCACTACACTGAGGTATTTTCTTTTTAACCCTTTCTTTCTTTTCTGCTGTGAATATGTGCCTTCTAAGAGGTGAACGACTGGGAAAAACTGAAAAAGAACCTTCAACTAATTCAGTAACTAGCTTTTGTATCTTCTAACAATTTTTATCTCCAGAAAGCTCTAATTTTCATTCCTTTACAAGCTTTATTTCTCTCTCCTTTCCAAAACCAGACTTTGCTCTGTTTGTTTTCTATACCTTTTTAGAGATGCCTACAATAGATAAAAACTATGACATATTCAATACATCTGAAAAGTTTGCATTGCCATAGATAAGAATGAATTATCTGTTTATAAAGAAAAAAACAATAAAAATATGAACCAAGAAAGCACAGAAGGTAGTAACCACATTTAGATGTTTATCGTAGAATCATCTTTATAATCCATCTGTTACAATTCCACAGAGCAAATTACAAGTAATTGTGAAGTTTCCCCTCATTTTATACGTTTGGTCTTATAAGGCATACAACACAAATTTTAATTACTTTTCTTTTTGGTATTTCGATCTTAATTTGGTCAAGTCGCCACTGGGTAGATGATGGAGCCTCATGAGACATACAGTCTTCTTCTAGCTTTGTTGATGTGAATATTACTGTGTATTTTTCATTCACTTATTATTTTACAAGGCATGCTTCATTAAAAATATGTCAGCATCTCATTGACAAATCACAAAATTTTAAAGGCACAAGAAAAAAGCAATTTATTTAAAACATTCCTGTGTAAAAGTAGTCACCACTCTTACTATTCTTCAAATATTTTTATTATATTTAAACGCAAGCCTAGTTTTATCTCGAGTGTCTGACCTTGATGATATTGTATACTTTAAACTTAGAAAAATTGAACTCTATTGGAAATTTCCTACAGATCAGCTTTTCTAGATGACAAGCGCCTTGTTTCAGCCATGGAGATGACAGCAAATTAGGTTCTCAGGGATTCTGGCCTCTGGCATCATCTCAGTTGTTTATAATTGAAGTTGGCTCTGATGAGAACTCAGCTTAGATGCATGGTTGGACTGCTGGGCTTAAGGCTGGCCTGCCAGGAGGTTGCGTTGAGGTGTAACTAGGCAAAGAAAGAAGGAGTTTATTGAGGCACTACTGACAATAGGAAAGACTTGGAACCAACCCAAATGTCCAACAATGATAGACTGGATTAAGAAAATGTGGCACATATACAGCATGGAATCCTATGCAGCCATAAAAATGATGAGTTCATGTCCTTTGTAGGGACATGGATGAAGCTGGAAACCATCATTCTCAGCAAACTATCACAAGGACAAAAAAACAAACCCCGCATGTTCTCACTCATAGGTGGGAATTAAACAATGAGAACACATGGACACAGGAAGGGGAACAGCACACACTGGGGCCTGTTGTGGGGTGAGGGGCTAGGGGAGGGAAAGCATTAGGATATATACCTAATGTAAATGACGAGTTAATGGATGCAGCACACTAACATGTCACATGTATACATATGAAACGAACCTGCACGTTGTGCACATGTACCCTAGAACTTAAAGTATAACCAAAAAAAAGAAGGGGTTGGGCAAAATTGCCAACAATCTTCAACTATGAATTTTATGAGTAGGGGCTTCCCACACAATCAGGCACTCCAAGTTGGAGAAACAAGGGATGTTGAATTGAAAGTTTAATTTTTTAGGCTTGATAGTCAGATTAGGGAAGTTTTGGGTACACCTTTCCCACTCTAGAGCCCTCTCCCTAACTCAGGGCCAATTTGGGACATGGGCTCAATGGAAAAGAGTGCCGAGATCAATTAGAAATATCCATCATGAACATAGGAGGCAGGCATTCTGGCCAAGGGGGTGCATCTTCCCACTTTGTAATCCAGAGTGCGATTTCTTCTTGCTATCTGTCCCTCCATAAATAAGCGTTGGGTGAAGGACAAGCTAGTTACAACTGAGGATGGAATGAGATTCTAGCAGAATTGCAAAATGAACTGAAAGCCACAAAACTGTTCCTCTGTGAACCAGCAGAGAGATCTGTGGAAGGCAAAGGAATAGGAGCCAAGAGGCCAGATAACATTCCTGCTTCCCTTACATTGTGAGAGTGAAATTGTCAGCAACCTATATCAGTAATTAACCAGAGGCTTTTTAGAGAGTAAGACTTCTGATAGATACCTCAATAGCTGAAGTTGCTCTTCAGTACTGCACATAACCTGTGGACAGATTTTCATCATTATTAATTCATTTATTCAACAGATAGATATTAAATTCAAGGCATAGTTCTAAACTATGCAGTCAATTACAAAAAAAATAATGAAGGGCATTAGCTCTGCTTCCTAGGACGTTAAAAGTCTAGCGCTAAGTGAGACAAATAGGGTTCCCACATCAAGTGCCTGGGCTCCTGTTATAACCTGGACTCTGCTTCCATTGGCTTATCTTGTTTCTGTTTTGGTAAATCCATCATTTGTCTTAGTCCCTATCCTTGCCATGCTCACCCACCAGTAGGTGGGCCTCCTTGACCATAACTACAGACATAGATCTTTGATTGTTTCTTTTCAAATATTTGCTTACTTTAGAGCTGCAGTCAAATGTTGTTTGGACCATAAGACTCTAAGGCTGTGTGTGGTTGAAACTGTCTTGAGACTCAAAGAGCTATTGAGGAAGGGATTTGGTAGCTGAACTCATTTGAAGATTTTCTCTGTCTCTCACACATCTGGGGCTGAATAGCTTAACGTTTAATTTCTACATCGATGATAGTTTAATAGCCATTCATGCAAATCAGTTCTGCTGTGAGTTATTTTCCTACTCCAATAACAAGTAACGCATTCCTTAAATTTAGTGTACGTATAAATTCTACAAGGTAAGTGAAGCTGTCTTTATGCATTGCTGCTATAGAATATACTAGATTGTGTAGGTTTTAGAGCCTGGGGCTCTCCCTCAGGGGGCTTTCGTGAGCCAGGGAGCGAGGGCCGTCCCTGTGCTCCAGGCCAGCCTGGCCGTGCCGGCAGAGGGGATCTCCCAACCTGCCCCAGCACGCGGGGATTTTCTCTACGCCACCCCGGCTCCTCTGGAAGGGGCGCTCTCCCACCCTCAGGCTCCTCGGTGGCCTCGGCACCCAGGCAAAAGCCGGGAGGACTGGGAACCGCAGCGTGACGGCCTGCTGGGCCCTTGCGCGGTGGGACAGCCTGGGCCCGCTCAAGCGGGGCCACAAGGCCAAGGTGTGCTTGCGATACCCGCGTCCCAGGGGAGTCCGTGGTGGGGCTGGGGCCGGGGTCCCCAGGTCGCCAGGGCAGCGTGGGAACCCCAAGCCGGAGCAGCTCCACCTCGCCAGCCCACGCCCCCGGAGGCCTCCGCGTGGCAGGGGCTGATGCAAGGCATCCAGGTGCCCACCGAGGTGCTCCAGGAGCCAGGGTGCTCGTCTGCACTCCCCTCCGGCCTTCTGCTGGATGAGCTCCTGGTGAGCCAGGAGTTCCTGCAGCAGGGGCTACCTTTCCTAGAAACGGAGGCCCCAGGGGAGCTGGAGGCCTTGGAAGAGGCCGCCTCGCTGGAAGAACCCCTCAGCGAGGAAGAATACCGGGGTCTGCTGGAGGAGCTTTAGGACATGGGGTTGGGACGGGGTCGGGTCGGGGCAGGGCGGTGGACTCTCTTTTGCCAGGAACACCTGGCTGGCTATAGAGGGGCAAGTCTTCACCCCACCCCCACCACTGGGCTGACCGGCCTGGGATTCCTGCCTTCTAGGTTTAGGCCTGGTGAGAGGCTCCACACAGCAGAGAACTGCCATTTTTTCTTGGTAATCCCGTGGATCCCACCGCCGGCCCAGGTACCAGAGGTGGGCCGCATACTGCGCACGCAAGGGTTTTTGGGCAGCCGCCTGGGCTTTGAGAGCAGCCGGGCAGAGCTCTCACGCCTTTCCACCACCCCACCCCCGCACGACCACCCCCTCCGCACTCCCACAATCCCCCCAGAAAATGCGTCCTCCCCAGGGCTGGGTGGAGACCCCTGTCCTGAGAAACACCGGGCCCGCGCAGCGTCCAGGCCTGACAACAGTCCAGCGGCTCGCCTCTTCTCTGCCTCCACGCCACCGTCACCAGCCCACCCGTGCCCCTGCCGCCTCCCAGCTGCCACCATGGAGCGCTTGGCGGCGGAACGCAGACCTCTAGCACTCTTTGCTGGCCTCCTGGCTAGACCTGCACTCATTGTGCACACTGGCTGACGTGCAAGGGAGCCCGCTGGCCTCTCTATGCCCTTTTCCGTCAGTGAAATTCTGGCTGAGGTTCTCCAAACACCTTCCGATGCTCTTTCATCAAAGCCTGGAGAATGGTTACATCTCCTGGATGATCAGTTCAGAAACATGTCACAATGCCCCTCCCTGCGGAGCCTAGAGAAGATTTGCATCATTTGGGTGATCAGTGCAGAGATATTTCACAATGTCCCCTGTACAAAAAGCCCGGGAATGATTTACATCACCTCGGTGATCAGTGCATAGGTATGTCAGAAATCCTCAGTAGGCTGAAACTAGACAAGGGTTACATCATTTAGGCGATCAGTGTAGAGATATGTGAAAATTCCCGTGTAGACAGAGCCTAGACAAGTGTTACATCACCTAGTGATCAGTGCAGGGTTAAGTCATAAAGCCTCCTGTAGGAAGAGTGTAGACAAGTGTTTCCTCCCTGGGGTGATCAGTGCAGAGATATGTCACAAAGCTCCTATAAGCAGAACCTTGAAAAGGGTTACATCACCTGTTGGATCAGTGGAAATGTATATCACAAAGTCCCTGTAGGCAAAGCCCAGACAATTGTTACATCACCTGGGTGAGCAGTGTAGAGATCTGTCACAATGCCCCTGTAGGCAGAGCTTAGACAAGGGTTACATCACCTGGGTGATCAGTGCAGAGATATGTCAAAACGCTCCTGTAGGCTGAACCTAGACAGGAGTTACGTCACCTGGGTGATCAGTGCAGAGACATGTGAGAATTCCCGTGTAGGCAGAGCCTAGACCAGTGTTACATCACCTAGGTTATCAGTGGAGGTATAAGTCATAAAGCCTCCTGTAGGCCGAGCGTAGAGAAGACTTCTCCCCCCAGGGTGAACAGTGCAGAGATGTGTCACAAAGCCCCTGTAGGGAGAGCCTAGACAAGAGTTTCATCACTTGGTTGATCAATACAGAAATGTGTCACAATGTCCATGTAGGCAGATTTAAGACAAGAGCCCATCTCCTCGGTGATCAGTGCAGAGAGATGTACCAATGTCCCCTGTAGGCAGTGCCTAGACAAGAGTTGCATCACCTCAGAGATC
>NC_000022.11:11681288-11724629 GCF_000001405.40 Homo sapiens | reverse complement strand
GATCAGGAGTTTCAGACCAGCCTGGCCAACATGGTGAAACCCTGTCTCTATCAAAAATACAAGTTAGCCAGGCATGGTGGAACCTGCCTGTAATCCCAACTACTCTGAAGGCTGAGGCAGGAGAATCACTTGAACCCAGGAGGCAGAGGTTGCAGTGAGCCAAGATTGCACCACTGCACTCCAGCCTGGGTGACAGAGTGAGGCTCCATATCAAAATAATAATAATAATAATAATAATAGTAATAATAATAATAATTATTTTCTGTGAGTACAGAGATAAAATAGCATTACAGAATACCTAATAATCCTGAGTTTGGTTTTCTTGGTTTTATTTTTTCATTTAGTTTTGTTCACTTTGACCAGTGGGCTGGTGGTTCTTAGGTGCACCAAGGTTTTCATTTTTCAGTTCAAGATTTGAAAACCTTAATGTGGTAATTTCTCTAATTTTTTTGACAGTTACGTCCCAGGTTGCAAGTTAAAATAAAATTCCCATTTTACTAAAGTCCTTGGTTTATTAATGATTTTATAATGACTTAATATATAATTTAATGAGTAATGAGGGGTACTACATTTCAGAAATAAACACTGAAGAACTTATTCATGGAACCAAACACCACCTGTTTCTCAAACACCTATTAAAATAAAAATACATATAAATAATTTTTAAAAATAAACACTAAAAATAAAGTGAAAATGAAAAAATATATATCCAGGTTAAAAAAAAAACTACTTCAGTTAAACAATAAATACTTTTTGGGGGGACTCAACTCTACTACAAAATTATTCGTTGTTTATTATAATCAATAATACAGGTAAAATAATAAGTTTTTAAAAATTTAAAAATTGTAAAAAATAAAACGATATTAACAAACATTGGTATACTGGTGAAGGCCGGGCTCAGTGGCTGCTTTCCAAAGTGGTTACACCAGTCGGGCATGGTGGCACACACCTGTAATCTCAGCACTTCCGGAAGCTGAAGCAGGCAGATCACTTGAGCTCAGGAGTTTGACACAAACCTGGGCTACATGACAACACCCCATTTCTACCAAAAACTGTAAAAATCAGCTGCTCATGATAGCATGCACCTGTAAGTCCCAGCTACTTAGGAGGCTGAGGTGAGAGGATCACTTGTGCCTGGAAGGTCACAGCTGCACTGGCCATGTTCATGTCACTGCACTCCAGCCTGCGCAACAGAGCAAGATTTTGTCTCAAAAAAAAAAAAAAAGTTGGTGACAATTGGAATACTTGGAACTCACATACATTACTGGTGGGAATATAAAATGGTGTAATCAATTTGGGTGTTTTCTTGGCATTTGATTTTTTTAAAAAATCAAGATATTGTTTCCCTATGTTGCCCAGGGTGCTCCTGAACTCCCGAGCTAAGAAAATCCTCCAAACTCAGCGTCTCAAATACCTGAGATTAAAGGTGTGAGCCACTGTGCCTGACCAGTGTAACCACTTTGAAAAACAACGTGGCAGTTTCTCAAAGACTAAATGTATAGTAATCACATAATGCAACAATTTCACTCCTGAGTGTAAATCCAAGAGAAATAAAAATATATGTTCACACTAAAACTTACGTACGAGTGTTCATAGCAGCCTGACTCATGATGGTGAATACGCAAAAACAACACAAATGTCCATCAACTAATGAATGGATAAACATAAACTATTACTCAGCTACAAAAGGAAAGAAATCCTGATACACACTATAACATGAAAGAAATTTGAAAACATTCTGCTAAGAGAAAAAAAAGCAAATTACAAAAGATCACACATTGTACAATTCTATTTCTATAAAAGGTCCAGATTAGGCAAAACTACAATGACAGAAAATAAATCACTGGTTGCCTATGAACATGGGGTACGTAGGAGGTAACGGCTAAGAGGTGAGGGTTTCTCACTCATAAGTGGGTAACTCACAAGTGGGTAATCACTTCTAAGAAAGACTGTGGTGATGGATGCACAGCTCCTTGAATATTCTAAAAACCACTCAATTGTATACTTTCTTTTTTTCTTTAGTTATTTAAAGACGGTCTCCTTTTGTCACCCATGCTGTAGTGCAGTGGTGCCATCTGGTCTCACTGCAACCTATGGCTTCTGGGCTCAAGTGATCTTCCAGTCTCATGTCCCCAAGTAGTTGGGACTACAGGCATGAGCCACCACACCCAGCTAATTTTTGTATTTTTGCTAGAGATGCTGTTTTGCCATGTTGCCCAGGCTAGTCGCAAACTCCTGAACACAAGCGATCCACCTGCCTCAGCTGCCCAAAGTCTTAGCGTTATAGGAATTAGCCACTGCACCTGGCCTGAATTGTGTACTTTGATAAATGAATTGCATGATACGTTAATCATATTTCAATAACGTTATTATTTTAAAAATGGCTGGGCATGGTGTGGTGACTCACGCCTCTGATCTCAGCACACTGGGAGGCCAAGGTGGGTGGATTGCCTGATTTCAGGAGTTCGAGACCAGTCTGGCCAACATACTGAAACTCTGTCTCTACTAAAAATACAAGAATATTAGCTGAGAGTGGTGACATGGGCCTGTAATTCCAGCTAGTCGGGAGGCTGAGGCAGGGGAGTTGCTTGAACCAGGGAGGTGGAGGTTGCAGTCAGCTGAGATCACACCACTGCATTCCAGCCTGCATGACAGAGTGAGAGTCCGTCTCCAAAAGAAAGAAAGAAAAAGAAAATGGGCATTGAACACAGGTGGCTCCCACATACATATAATCCAAGCACTTTGGGAAGCTGAGGCAGAATGATCACTTGAGGCCAGGAGTCTGACAACATCCTGAGCAACACAGCAAGATCCCATCTGTACAATAAAAAATAAAGAAGTTAGCTGGGAATAGGGGCAAATGTATGTAGTCCCAGCTACTTGGGAGGCTGAGGTGGGAGGACTGTTTGAGTCCGGGGTTTCAGGCTGCAGTGAACCATGATCATGCCATTGCACTGCAGCCTGGGTGACAGAACAAAACCCTGTCTCTAGAAAGAAAAAAAAAAAGAAATCCAAGTTTTTATCACCTTCTGAGAGTAATCAACATTCAGGAGGAACATAGAAGAACAAAAGACCACTGAATGGTTGAGGGTGGGTTGCTGGTTAGGTTCAGTGGCCAGCTGAGTAGTATCTGAAAAATTCTTTAGTAAAATTATGGCACTAGGGGTGAGTCATGCAGTCGAAGGATGAATACTAAATCCAGTACAAACACCCATGGTCTTTCTTTACATGAATTCCAGTGAAAAATTTCTAAGTGCCTAAAATAGCAAGTGGTCTGAAATGATGGCAGCAGTTTATTAAAGACTGAAAAAAGAGGCCAGGCACGGTGGCTCACACCTGTAATCCCAGCACTTTAGGAGTCCAAGGCCAGTGGATCACAAGGTCAGGAGTTCAAGACCAGCCTGTCCAACATGCTGAAACCCCGTATCTACAGAAAATACAAAGCTTAGCCGGGCATGGTGGCATGTGCCTGTAGTCCCAGCTACTTCAGAGGCTGAGGCAAAAGAAATGCTTGAACCCGGGAGGCAGAAGTTGCTGTGAATTGAGATTGTGCCACTGCACTCGAGCCTGGTGACAGAGGAAGATGCTGTCTCAAAAAAAAAAAAGAAAGAAATGGCATCTTCAAGAACCACAAGAGAGTTCCACGCTGAAGAAGCTCTGATTCTGCATTTGCTGAACTACTGATTTGAGTTAGCCAATATAACACTATCTTAGATAAAGTGTACAAACAACTCAATTTCATCTCCTCATTAATAACTGATTAGTCTAATATCAATTCTGATTTTTAAAAAGCTAATTAGAAAAAGAATTAATTATAGAACCAATAAGAGGTTTGAATAGTTACAAGCTATTCAAAGGAGAATTCAAAAAACCATTCAGGTATGAGGCCATAAAGTATGATGAAATAAATTTCATTAATATATTTTAAAATAAACTGATTAGACAGGCAACAACACCTGGGCACGGGTCTCCTCACCTCCAGCAACACAAACCCAATCGCGCAGCTATGGGGTTGCAAAGGCTGCATAGTGACAAACAGACTGCTCTGAGCTGAGATTTCTTTACTTGTATCTGTATTCTGAGACCGGGTCTCACTCTGTCACTCTGGCTGCAATGCAGGGGTGCACTCATAGCTAACTGCAGCCGTGACCTCCTGGGCTCCGGGGATCCTCCTGCCTCACCCTCACCATAGCTACGGCTACAGATGAACACCAAAACACCCAGCTAATTTTTTTTTTTTTTTTTTTTTTTTGTAGAAAGAGGAGCCTTGCTATGTTGCCCAAGCTGGCCTCAAACTCCCGCCCTCAAGAGATCTGCCCACCTCAACAACCTAAGTAACAGGTTCTACAGGAAAATACCACTATGCCGGGATAATTATATTTTATTAATTTTTATTTGCATAGACAGGAAGTCTTGCTGTGTTGCCCAGGGTGGTCTCAAACTCCTGGACTCAAACCATTCTCCCATCTCTGCCTCCCAAAGTGCTGAAGCTACGGGCATAAGCCACTACACCTGGCCCGACTTAAGATCTCTGTAATCTAGCATCCCATACTTCATATAATTGGGAAAAGCAGTAGTGGTTTTTTTTTAATTACTTAACATTTCAACAAGAATCAACCATCTCTCACCATTGCCAGGGCCCTGGTCAGAACCACTATCATCTCCCACCTGGAGGTTGCCACAGCATGGCCTCCCTGCTTCTACCCAAATCTTCCCACAATCTTTGTCAACTCAGCTGCCATGGGATGCTTTTAAATCAGTAGACAGTTCGTGTCAACTCTCTGCTCAGAACCCTTCCGCATCTCCCATCTCAGACAGAATAAAAACCAAAGCCCCAGCAATAGCCTCCCAGGGCTTACACAATCTGTACTGATCTGAGTCCAACAACTCCCTGGCCTCCTTCCCTACTTCTCTCCCTCTCTCTACTCCACAGACCTCTTTCCTGAGCTTCAGACACACCACGGAGTTCCCTCTTAGCATCTTTATTCTGTTGTTTCTGCCTAAAATGCTCTTCCCTCAGTACCTTGGCCAGCTCCTTCCCCTCCTTCAAGTCTTTGCTCAATTTTCACTTAGGAGGCCAACCCTGACCACTCTATTTAATATTGCTATCTGTCCCTATTCCTGCCATGCTCACTCATTTCTTTTTTCTTTTTTTTTCTAAGATATAATCTCGCTGTGTCACTCAGACTGGGGTGCCATGGCACGATCACAACGCACTGAGACCTGGAGCTCCTAGGTCAAGAAATTGTCCTGCCTCAGGGCCTCTAGTAGCTAAGACTACAAGTGCATGCCACCACACCCGCTAATTTTTTTTTTTTTCCATGTAGACAGGGTATCATTTTGTTGCCCAGACTTATCGTGAACTCCTGGGCCAAAGCAACCATCCTGCCTCAGCCTCCTAAATAGCTGGAATTATAGGTGTGGGCCACCAATTCTGGCTTCATGTTCATTTCTTCTTGCCGCTGTTACAAACTACCCTACATTGAGTGGCTTAATACACCACAAATCTACTCACTAAGAGGTCTGGGGGCCAGAAGTCCAAAATAGGTCTATTAAGGCTAAAGTCAAGGTGCCAGCAGGACTGCATCCCTTCTGGAGGTTCTGGAGAGAATATGTTCCCTTGCCTTTCCCAGTTGCTAAAGCCACTCCTATTCTTTGGCTCATGGCCCCTAACTGCATCTTCAAAGCCTGAAGCAAAGCATATTCAAATCTCCCTCTGTGACCTGTGCTTCCATCATCAAATCTCCTTCAATTCGGACTCTCTTACCTCCCTCTTTCACTTATAAAGACCTCTTGTGATTGCTGGACACAGAGGCCGTGGCTCACAACCATAATCCCAACAGTTTAGGAGGTCAAAGGAGGAGAAACGCTTGAGGCCAAAACTTCAGGACCAGCCTGGGAAACACAGCGAGACCCCCTCAATTAAACAACAAAAAGAAATAAGAAAAAATTAGCTGGGCATGGTAGTATGCATCTGTAGTTTCAGCTACTTGAGAGGTTGTGGTGAAAGGATCGCTTTAGCCCCAGAGTTCAAGACCAGCCTCGGCAATATAACAAGATCCTATCTCTACAAAAAAATACAACAATTAGCTGGGCATAGATGGTGTGCACCTGTAGTCCCAGATGCTTGGAAGGCTGAGGTGGGAGAATTGCTTGAGCACAGGTGGTTGAGGCTGCAGTTAGCTACAACACCATCACTGCACTCCAGATTGGGTGAAACAGAGACTCTGTGTTCAAAAGAAAAAGAAAAGAAATACACATTTGGTTTCTGCCCCTCATCCTGGCAAAGAGCTTCTCAAGCTCTTATAAAGGCCTTGGTGATGAAAGTGATGGGGCATCTTCTGTTTCAATATTTGGTCTTAGTCCCAGGTTTCTAACACAAGAGCCTCTAAGACCTTTGGGATCACCATAGTAAGAATGCATTTGGTGATGTTACTGAGATGACTGGGTGACTGAAAGCTTGTAGACAGCTTCAGAAAAAGGGGTGGTTGTTGTCAGAAGAACAAACCATGTGATTAGAGGCTTGGAACTGTCAGCCTCACCCCCTGGGCTCCAGGAAGAAATAGTGGCCGAAGACTGACTTAATCACCAATGGTCAATGACTTCACCAATCATGCCTGCATAATGAAGCGTTCATAAGCGCCCTCAACAGCTGGAGTTGGAGAATGTCTGGGTTGCTGAACACAAGGGAGATACCAGGAATGTAATATGCACAATAGAGGACATGGAAGTTCTGTACCCCTCTCGACATACCTTGCCCTGTGTGCTTTTTGTTTTTTTTTTGAGACAGAGTCTGGCTCTATCTCCCAGCCTAGAGTGTCATGGCACAATCATGGCTCACTGCGAACTATGCCTCCCTATCTCAAGCCCCATCCTCTCATCCTCTCACCTCAGCCTCCTGAGTAGCTAGAATTATAGGCACTGAGTAGCTAGAACTATAGATAACTGTGCCTGGCTAATTTTTAGAAAAATCTTTTTGTAGAGATGCATTTTCACCTTGTTACCCAGGCTGGTCTTAATCTCCTGAGCACTTAAGTGATGCTCCCGCCTCAGTCTCCCAAAGTGCTGAAATTACAGGCATGAGCCACTGTGCCCAGCATGTACATCTCTTTCACTGGCTGTTTCTGAGATTTAGCCTTTAAAATGAACCAGTAAAAGAAAGTAAATTGGTGAGATGCAGTGGTTCATGCCCATAATCCCAGCATTTTGTGAAGTTGAGGTGGGAGGATCACGTGAGCCCAGAAATTTGAGACCAGCCTGGGCAACATAACAAGACCCCATCTCTACAAAAAGTAAAAGAACATAGCCAGATATGCTGGTACAGGCCTATAATCTCAGCTATTTGGGAGGCTGAGGTGGAAGGATCACTTGAGCCCAGGAGTCCCATGCTACAGTGAGCTTTGATCACACCACTGCATTCCAGCCTGGCAACAGACTGAGACCCTGTATCTCAGAAAAAAAAGAAAACAATCTGTTTTTCTGAGTTCTGCAAGCTGTCCGAGCAAATGATTCCACCCACCAATGGGGGTCATGAAACCCTGTTTTCTAACTGGTTGGTCAAAACTACATGTAACAACCCAAGACTTGCAATTGGTATGTGGAGTGAGGGTAGACTCCTGGGACTGAGCTCCCATCCTGCAGGGTCTGCACTAACTCCAGGGAGTGTCAGGATGGAATTGTGGGATACCCAGTTGGGATCCAGATTGTTTGAAAATCAGTGTAGAAACTCCACATGCACATTTGGTCAGAGGTGTTTGACCGTAACTACTATTCATGAAAAAGTTCTACTCATTAGAACTAAAAATCACAAAATTGTAAGTTCTACAAAAACAAATCAACCTTATCTACCGCCCAGTCCTACCGAACTACAGAATGTGAGAACAGAAGGTCTGACCATGGAGTCGAGAACTGACAGGAATGTCACCACCATCCTGCTCTCCAAGGACTCCTCATCTTCAACAGACTCCTCATCTTCAATGGGCAGGATGGAAACTGCAACTTGTGCCATGATCCTTGCACAAGAAAAGTAGTAAGAAAATGAGTGGTAGAAATCCAGTGTCCTAAACTCACATCCAGAGCTGTGAGAGTTTTTTACTGGCTGGATAATTCACAGTTATCTTGAATCAGGGGAAAAATAAGACTCAGAAACTAGGAATTCATTTTGCCCAAAACTCTCATCAGATACAGAATCCATCCGCTAACTATCTAGTATTATTTCCATAAGTTAGATCAATTATCACTCCCAAAACAAATGCACATGGCACCCAGAATCTGTGCATTTCTCCCAAGTAAAAGAGGAGGTGGATGGGTGCAGTGTCTCATGCCTTTAACCCCAGCACTTTGGGAGGCCAAGGTGGGTGGATCACCTGAAGTCAAGAGTTCAAGACCAGCCTGGCCAACATGGTGATACCCTGTCTCTACTAAAAATAAAAAAAGTTAGCCAGGTGTGGTGGCATGTGCCTGTAGTCCCAGCTTCTTGGGAGGCTGAGGCAGGAGAATCACTTGAACCCAGGAGGCTAAGGTTGCAGTGAGCAGAGATCCCACCACTGCACCTCAGCCTGGACGACAGAGTGAGACTCTGTCTCAAAAAAAAGGAGGGGAGGAAAGGAGGCAAGGCACTTTACAACCCAGTGATGGGCTACCACAACTCAACACAGCAAAGAGTTGCCAAGCTCCCTTTCTCCCCTGCACAACCAGACACAGAAGAGTTGGTGTAGTGGAATGAGGCTGGATGGAGAGAAGTTCTTCTTCTTTCTTTCCTTTTTTTTTTGAGATGGACTCTCACTCTGTCACACAGGCTGGGGTGCAGTGGTGCAATCTCGGTCACTGTAACCTCTGCCTTATGGGTTTAATCAATTCTCTGCCTCAGCCTTCCGAATACCTGGGATTAGAGGCACCCCCCACCACACCCAGCTAATTTTTTTTTTTTTAGTGGAGACTGGGTTTCACTATGTTGGCCAGGCTGGTCTTGAACTCCTGACATTAGGTGATCTACTCACCTCGGTCTCCAAAAGTGCTAGGATTACAGGCATGAGCCGCTGTGCCCAGCCAAGAAGTTCCTCTTCTTACTTAGAAAACAGATCACAGGGCATCAAGTAACACGTAAAATCCTCTATAATAAGCAGTATTATTTTTGGAAAACCTTTCCTAATATTTTGGTATCAGTGAAAAGCCTCAGATTAATTTCAAACACTATAAAAATACAATACATAAACAGAAAATATTAACTGTCAGCAATGCTATAGAGAAATTGGAAGCTGTATGCATTGCTTTTTGGAATGTAAAATGGTACAGCCCACTGTGGAAAATGGTTTAGCAGCTCCTTAAAAATATGAAGCATAGAATTATATGATCCATCAACACCCTTTAAGCGTATATACCCAAAAGAACTGAGAGCAGGGACTCAAACAGGTATTTGTACACCCAATTAACAGCAGCATTATTCACAGTGGCCAGAAGGTAGCCCAAACCTAATGCCCATCAGTAGGTGAATAGATAAAGAAAATGTAATATATACATACACAGAGTATTATTCAGCCATAAAAAGAAAAATATCTGGCCAGATTCAGGGGCTTACACCTGTAATCCCAGTATTTTGGGAGGCCAAGGTGGGCAGGTCTCTTGAGCCCCATATTTTGAGACCAGACTGGACAACATGGCACATTTGGTTAGAAGTGTTTGAACATAACTACTATTCCAGAAAAAGATCTACTCATTAGAACTACAAATCATAAAATTATAAGTTCTACAAAAAAAAAATCAACCTTATCTACCACCCAGTTCTACCAAATTATATCATGTTAGAACAGAAGGTCTCACCGTGGACTCGAGAGCTGATATGAGAAATGTCACCACCATCCTGCTCTCCACGGAATCATCTTCAACAGACTCCTCATCTTCCATGGACTCCTCATCTTCCATGGGCAGGGTGGAAACTGCAACTTGTGCCATGATCCCTGTGCAAAAAAGTAGTAAGAAATTGAATGCTAGAAATGCAGTGTCCTAAACTCACATCCAGAGCTGTGAGAGTTTCTCACCGGCTGCCAAATTGTTTTTTGGGTCAGAGAAAAAAATAAAACTTGGTAACCTGGTACTCGACTTGCACCAAACTCTCATCAGATAGAGAATCTATCCGCTAACTTTCTATCTAGTATTATTTCCATGAAGTTACATCAATATCACTCTCAAAATAAATCCAGGTGGAAGACTAAATCCAAAGCTAGCAGAAGGAAAGAAATAATAAAGAGCATAATTAGAGCATAAATCAATAAAACAGAAGGTTGGAGAGCAGTAGAATGAAAAAATGTAGATTCTTTGAAAGATCAAGCCTTTCACTATATTGACTGAGCAAAAGATGGAAGACTAATTATTAAAATGATAAATGAAAGCAGAGCCATTACTACCAACTTTACAGAAATACAAAAGGATTACAGGAGTATACTGTGAACAACTGTCTAGCAACAAATTAGGTGCCCTGGATGAAATGGATGAATCGCTAGAAAGACACAAACTACCAAAGTGGCTCAAGAAGAAAGAGAAAATCTGAATAGACCTATAACCTAGGAGATTGAATTAGTAATCGAAAGCGATTAACAAAGAAACATTTATGACCAAATAGCTGCATTAACTGGTGAGTCAACCTAACATTTAAAGAAGAATTAATACCATTTCTTCTCAAACTCTTCTGACAAAATATATGAAGAAGGAATACTTGCTAATTCATTTTTTGATAACAGCATTATCCTTATACCAAAGACAAAGAGAGCACAAAAGAGAGAAATACAGCACTATATCCCTTATGAATATATAAGCAAAAATCTCAGCAAAATACTAGAAATACTAGCAAAATACTAGCAGCAGCAATACTGTATAATCAAAGGATTGTAAACTATCACCCTTTGAGATTTATCCCCAAAATGCAAGGGTGGTTCAACATATAAAAAATCAATCAGTGTAATATGCTGTAACAGTAAAATGAATAAGCACGTGATTATTTCAATTGCTGCAGAGAAAACATTGATGAAATACAACACCCTTCTATAATAAAAATACTCAATAAACTAGGCATAGAAGGGATCTTCTGCAACATGACAATGGGATGTACAAAAACCCAACAGTTAATATCATGATCAATGATGAAACACTGAAAGCTGTTTTCCTAACATCTAGAAGAAAAGGATGGTGCATTTGCCACTTGTATTCAACGTAGCACTGGCAGTTCTAGCCAGAGCAATTAGGCAAGACAAAGAAATAAAAGGCATCTAAATTAGAAATAAAAAATAGGTGTAAAATTATATCTACACATGATCTTATGGGTATAAAGCTCCAAACAAAACACAAAACCGATTATAACTAATAAAAGAGGCAGGATGCAAACAAACATAGGCAAATGAGCTATATTTCTATATAGTTGTAAAGAACTATGAAAACATTTTAAAAATTCCATTTATAATGACATCAAATAATACGTTATTCAGGCATAAATCTAACCATGGTGGTATACATAAAACATTGCTGCAAAAAACTAAAGAGAGTGGAAATAAGTGGAAAGACATTCTGTGTTCACGGGTTGTAAGACAATATTGTTAAGATGACAATACCATCTAAAGTAATCTACAGATTCAATGCAATACCATCAAAATCCCAAAGGCATTTTTGCAGAAACAAAGAAACTCATTCTAAAATCATACAAAAATTCAAAGGATCTGACAGACAAAACAGTCTTGAAAAACAACATTGGAAAACTCACATTTTTCAGTTTCACAGCCTACTACAAATCTACAGTAATCAAGAGAGTGTGGTACTGGAATAAGACCAATAGACTTTCAGACCAATACAATGGAACAGATTTGAGATCCTACAAGTTAGTCCTCACATATATGGTCAATGACTGTTCAACAAGGTGGCCAAGTCTAGTCAAGGGAGGAAAGAACAGTCTCTTCAACAACTGGATGTCAGTGCACAAGAGAGAAGTTAGACCCCTACTTTGCAGTATATACAAAAATTAATTCTAAATTAATAAAATACTTAAATGTAAGGACTAAAAATATGTAACTCTTAGAAGAAAACACACGGTAAACCTTTATGACCTTTGAGTTTTAAGTGTATTTTGAAATATGACAGAAAAGCACAGATAACAAAAGAAAATACACGAAAATTAGATTTAATCAAAATAAAAAACCCTTTATGTATCAAAGGATACTATCAAGGAAGTGAAAAGACAACCCATAATATGTGAGAAAATATGTATCTGATAAAATCAAAATGTGTATCTGATAAAAGCTTAATATTCCACAACTCAACAACAGAATTTCTAAGATCCCAATTAAAAAATAGGCAAAGGACTTGAACAGACATTTCTCCAAAGAAGATACACAAATGTCTAAGAAGGAAAAGAAAAGATGCTAAACACCATTATTCATTAATAAAATGCAAGGCAAAACCCAAATGAGATGCCACTTTGCATCCACTAGTAAGGCTTTCATAACAACGACACAGAAAATCAATGTTGCTAAGGAGGTGGAGAAACTGGAGCCCTCATGAACTGGCTGCTAGGAATAGAAAATGATGCACTTGCTGTGGAAAACAGTTTGGTGGTTCCTCAAAGAATCACACAGAGAAACAGGCGCCGCTGGCTTGCGGGTTCTCCTGGGCTGGCGCGGGACGTCCCGGAATCACAGGCGCGCACTCCTTCCCGCCTGAGGGTCCGCCTGGCCGTGACTCCCGCCCCTCTCCTCCTCCGAAGAGAGATCGGGGCCGCCCCAGGGGCCGTCTGCAGCCACCGGGGATGGGGCTGAGGGTCGGTTCCTGCCCCGGTGCAGCCGCCCCTGGGCAGACCGCCTGGCTTGGTCGCAGCCATGGCGACATCTAGCTCCGGTTCTGCGAGGCTGGGCGCGCCAGCCAGCTTGGGAGTCGCCCGGCGCCTGTAGCTGGGCTCCCAGGTGGTGAAGCATGCCCTGGGCGGCCTCTGGATCGCGGGTGCCCCTGGCCTGAGAGCCTGCCAGACCCTGCCCTGGCCCGGCTCCTCCTCTGTCAGAGCTCCAGATCTCTATCCAGGGGCCCTCTGCAGCCACCGGGGATGGGGCTGAGGGTCGGTTCCCGCCCCTGTGCAGCTGCTGCAGTACAGACCGCCTGGCTTGGCCACAGCCACAGGGACATTTGGCCCTGCTTCCAAGATGTGGGGAGTGTGGGCGGGCTCGGGAGTTGCCTGGAGGCTGCTGCCTGCATGCAGAAGGCGGCTGCAGCTCGGGTGCCCAGGCAGGCTGGAGGTGCATGGCCTGGTCGGCCTTGGGATCGCCAGCGCGCCAAGCCTGAGGGCCCCCAGGCCATGCCTCCCGACCACTCCTCCACCTGAGGGAGATCGGAGCCGTTTATATGGGCACTCGGCAGTCACCTCGTGTGGGGTTGAGCGGTGGGTTCTCAGTTCTCGCTCCTGTGCAGCTGCTGCCGCAGGGCAGAATGCCTGGCTTGGCTGCAGCCACTGGGACACGTGGCCCTGCTTCTGTGATGCTAGGAGCGCGAGCGGGCTCGGGGGTTGCCAGGCAGATGCTGCCTGCACACAGGGGGCGACGGCAGCTTGGGCGCCCAGATGGCAGAGCATGGTTTGGGTGGCCTCTGGAATGCGTGCGCGCCAGGCCTGAGGGTCACCCTGGTGGGGCCACATACCCCGGTCTTCCTCTGCTGGAGCCTGGAGCAGCTGGAATGGCCACTATTCCGTCACAGGGGATGGAGTTAAGTTTTCTTATCCCACCCATGCACCCAAAAGGTGACTATTCTGTGAGGTAATAAACGTGTTAATTGACTTCATTCATGCCACTCTGCATCCACAAGTAAGGCTTTCATAACAATGACACAGAAAATAAATGTTGCTAAGGAGGTGGAGAAGTTGGAGCCCTCATGATGTGGCTGCTAGGAATAGAAAATGATGCCCTTGCTGCGGAAAACAATTTGGTTGTTCCTCACAGAATGAGCATTGGGTGAAAAATGAAATCAAGATGGAAATGTAAAAAATGTCTTCGAACTGGATGACACAACCTATCAAGACCTCTGGGATACAGCAAAGGCACTGCTAAGAGCAAAGTTTGTAGTCCTAAAAACCTACATCAAAAAGTCTGAAAGAGCACAAACAGACAATCTAAGTTCACATCTCAGGGAACTAGAGAAGCAGGAACAAGCCAAACCCAATCCCAGCAAACACAGGAAATAACAAAAATCAGAGCAGAACTAAATGAAATTGACACAACAACAACAACAACAAATACAAAACATAAATAAAACAAAAAGTTGGTTATTTGAAAAGATAAATAAAATTGATAGACCATTAGCAAGATTAACCAAGAAAAGAAGAGAGAAAATCCAAATAACCTCACTAAGAAATGAAACAGGGGATATTACAACTGACACCACTGAAATATTAAAGATTATTCAAGGGTACTATGAACACCTTTTGGCACATAAACTACAAAACCTAGAAGAGTTGGATAAATTCCTGGAAAAATACAACTCCCCTAGCTTAAATCAGGAAGAATTAGATACCCCAAGCAGACCAATAAAGCAAGCAGCAAGATTGAAATGGTAATTTTAAAATTACCAGCAAAAAAAGCTGAGGGCCAGACAGATTCACAGCAGAATTCTACCAGACATTCAAAGAATGTCTTCTTTCATTCAAGGAAGAAATGATACCCATCTTTTCATACTATTCCACAAGACAGAGAAAGAAGAAACCCTCCTTATTCATTCTATGAAGCCAGCATCACCCTAATACCAAAACCATGGAAGGACATAACCAAAAAAGAAAACTACAGACCAATATCCTTGATGAACTCAGATGCCAAAATCCTTAAGAAAATACTATCTAACTGAATCCGACAACATATCAAAAAATAATCCACCATGATCAAGTGGGTTTTATACCAATGATATAGGAGTAGTTTCACATATGCAAGTCAATAAGTGTGATACACTAAATAAACAGAATTAAAAAAATCTAATATGATTATATCAACAGGTACAGAAAAAACATTTGACAAAATCTAGCATTGCTTTATGATTAAAGCTCTCAGCAAAATAGGCATACAAGGGACATACCTTAATGTAATAAAAGCCATCTATGACAAACCCACAACCAACATAATACTGAATGGGGAAACGGTGAAAGCATTCACTTTGAGAACTGGAACAAGACAAGGAGACTACTCTCACCGCTCCTCTTCAACATAGTACTGGAAGTCCTAGCCAGAGCAATCAGACAAAAGAAGGAAATAGAGGAAATCCAAATCGGTAAAGAGGATGTCAAACTGTCACTTGTTGCTGATGATATAATCTTTTGCCTAGAAAACCCTACGGACTCCTCTAGAAACTTCCTAGAACTGATAAAAGAATTCAGCAAAGTTTCCAGATACAAGATTAAGGGACACAAATCCGTAGCTCTTCCATACATCAACAGCTACCAAGCAGAGAATCACATCAAGAACTCAACCCCTTTTACAATAGCTGCGACAAACAACAACAACAAAAAAACAAAACTTAGGAATATACCTAGCAAAGGAATCAAAGGACAGCTACAATGAAAATTACAAAACACTACTGAAAGAAATCATAGATGGAGCCAAGCACGGTGGCACACGCCTATAATCCGAGCTACTCGGGAAGCTGAGGCAGGAGAATCGCTTGAACCCGGGAGGCAGAAGTTGTAGTGAGCCGAGATCACACCATTGCACTCCCACCTCAGCGACAAGAGCGAAACTCCCTCTGAAAAAAAAAAAAAAAACAAGAAAGAAAAGAAGTCATAGATGACACAAACAAATGGAAACGCATCCCCATGCTCATGGATGGGTAGAACCAATATTGTGAAAATTACCATTCTGTTAAAGGCAATCTACAAATTCAATGCAATCCCCATCTGAATGCCACCATCATTCTTCACAGAATTACAAAAACAATTCTAAAATTAATATGGAACCAAAAAAGAGCCATGTAACCAAACCAAGCCTAAGCAAAAAGAACCTGGAGGTATCACACTACTTGATTTCAAACTGTACAATAAGGCTTACCTTATTGTTACCAAAACACCAACGTACTGGTTTAAAAATAGGAACATAGACCAATGGAACAGAAGAGAGAACCCAGAAATTAACCCAAATACTTACAGCCAACTGATCTTCGACAAAGTAAACAAAAACATAAAGTGGGGAAAGGACCCCCTTTTCAACACATGATGTTGGGATAATTGGCGAGCCACATGTAGGGGAATAAAACTGGATTCTCATCTCTCATCTTATACAAAAATCTACTCAAGATGGATTAAGAACTTAAATCTGATTCCTGAGCTATAAAAATTCTAGAAGATAACACTGGATAAACCCTTCTAGACATTGACATACGCAAGGATTTCAAGACCAAGAACCCAAATGCAAATGCAATAAAAACAAAGATAAATAGCTGGGACTTAATTAAACTAAACAGCTTTTGCATGGCAAAGGGAACAGTCAGCAGAGTAAATGGACAACTCAAAGAGTGGGACCCCTGAACCTGACCCTGATCCCTAACCCCTGACCCTGATCCCTAACCCCTGACCCTGACCACTAACCCCTGACCCTAACCCTAACCCCTAACCCTAACCCTTAACCGTAACCCCTAAGCCTAACCCCTAACCACAACCCTCACCCTCACACTAATCCAACCCTAACCCCTTATCCCTAACCCCTAACCTCTCTTAACCTCTAACTCTAAACGTTGTCTCTTAACTCCTAACTCTGACCCCAACCCCTATCTCCAACCCCTAACCCTAAACTTAACCCCTAACCCCTAACCCTAACACCAACCTTAACCCTAGGTTCTTTACTACGTTTGTACTATGTCAATGTTGATTATTATGATCTCTGTCTTAGGACTGCATAGCAGCAAGGGGATTGCAGATCTTATATTAATATTTTTGTATTGAGGCAGTGCATTAGCATTACAGGTGCTTGTTACATGAGCAATGGGGGTGTCATATTTTGGGTGTCATGTCTGCATTAGGAATGCTGCATTTGTCTTCCGAGGCTGCGGTGTGGATCTCGCACTGCGGCTGCCTTGGCTTGGCTGGGGAGAACCTCGGTTGGCAGGATTCAGAGGGGCTTTTGGTTTCCCTTTTCCACACTGAGCCCTTCTAACTGGTCTCTGACCCTGATTATTCAGGGCTGCAAAAGGGAAGGATTTTATTCACCGTCTATGTGGTCCCGAGTTGTCCCAAAGCGAGGCAGTGCCCCAAAGGTCTGTGCTGAGGAGAACGCTGCTCTGCCTTAGCGGTGTCCCCCGGGTCTGTGCTGAGCAGAACGCAGCTCCGCCCTCGCGGTGCCCCCGGCCCGCCTGGGTCTGTGCTGAGGAGAACACTGCTCCGCCTTCGCTGTATCTCTGAAGTCTGTGCAGAGGAGAACTCAGCTCCGCCCTGGCGATGCTCTCCTTGTCTGTGCTGGGAAGAACGCAGCTCCGCCCTCGCAAAGGCGCACAGCGCCGGCGCAGGAGCAGAGAGGCCCACAGCGCTGGCGAAAGGCGCAGAGAGGCCCACAGCGCCGGGGCAGGCGCAGAGAGGCCCACAGCGCCGGCGCAGGCGCAGAGAGGCCCACAGCGCCGGCGCAGGCGCAGAGAGGCCCACAGCGCCGGCGCAGGCGCAGAGAGGCAGAAGGCCCATGAGGGGAAGGTGAGACACCTGGGGCAAAGAAGAAAAAAAAATGCGCCGCGAAGCGGTGTCTGGGTCATCCGGGGACGAAAGTTTTTTCCCATCAGCCCTTGCGCTGGGCCCCAGGGACCCGGGCATCCCTGGTTCACGCCCAGGGTGTGCCTCAGGCGACTAGGGGTACCCCAACTTGGACAGAAGGCCCATGAGTGGAAGTTGAAGTTTGTGGGAGGAGAGGTGAGGCACCAGGGGCAGAAAAAAAAAAAAAAAAAAGAGGACCGCGTCTCAGAGAAGCGGGGCCTGGGTCCCCCACGGATGAAAGTGCCTTCCCATCAGGCCCTATGCTGGGCCTGGTGGACCCTGGCGACCCTGGTTCGAGCCCAGGGTGCGCCTCGGGACAGCTTGGGGTACCACAAAGCGAACAAAAGGTCCATGAGGGGAAGGTGAGGCACCTGAGGCAGAGAAAAAAAAACGCTCAGCCGAGAAGCAGTGCCTGCGTCCCCCACGGATGAAAGTGCCATCCCATCAGCCCCTTCGCTGGGCCCTGGGGACCCTGGCGTCCCTGGTTTGACCCTGGGGTACGCCTCGGGACAGTAGGGGTTCCCCAAGGTGGGCAGAAAGCCCCTAAGGGGAAGGTGAGGCACCTGGGGCAGAGAAAAAAAGAAAAACTTCGCCGCGGAGAAGCACGGCCTGGGTGCCCCACAGACGAAAGTGTCTTCCCATCAGTCCCTGCACTGGGACCCAGGGACCCTAGTGTCCCTCGTTCGAGCTCAGGGTGTGCCTCGGCCGCTAAGTGCACCCCAAGGGGGGCTTTGGGGACACAAAGCCCGTGAGGGGAAGGTGAGTTTTGAGGGAGGAGAGGTGAGGCACCTG
Organism: Homo sapiens; assembly: GCF_000001405.40. Classification (NCBI taxonomy): domain Eukaryota; kingdom Metazoa; phylum Chordata; class Mammalia; order Primates; family Hominidae; genus Homo; species Homo sapiens. The sequence goes on along the minus strand of NC_000022.11, from coordinate 11,706,100 downwards.
TCACAGAAAAAGAAAAAAAAGAAACCCGCGCCGCGGAGAGGTGGGGCTTGGGTACCCCACGGATGAAAGTGCCTTCCCATCAGCCCCTGCACTGGGCCCCGGGGAACCTAGAGTCCCTGGTTCGAGCTCAGGGAGAGCCTCGGGCCACTAGGGGTACCCCAACGCGGTGGAAAGCCCATGAGAGGAAGGTGAGCTGTGAGGGAGGAGAGGTGAGACACTTGTGGCAGAAAAGAAAAAGAAACCGCGCCACAGAGAAGTGGGGCCTGGGTCTCCCATGGGAAAAAAGTGCCTTCCCATCAGTCCCTGAGCTGGGCCCCGTGGACCCAGGCGACCCTGGTTCTAGGCCTGGGTGCACCTTGGGCCCGCTAGGTGTACCCCAAAGCGGGCAGAAGGCCCATGAGGTAAAGGTGAGGTTTGAGGGAAGAGAGGTGAGGCACCTGCGGCAGAAAAAAAAAAAAACGTGCGGAAGAGAAGCGGGGCCTGGTTCTCCCACGGACGAAAGTGCCTTCTCATCAGCCCCTGCGCTGGCCCCCTGGACTCTGGCGACCCTAGTTCAAGGACCAGAAGAGACTCTGGCATGCTAGGGTACCCTAAGGAAGCCAGAAAGCCCACGAGGGGAAGGCGAGATTTAAGGGAGGAGAGGTGAGTCACCTGTGGCAGAAAAAAAAAATATATATATATATATATATATATATATATATATATATATATATGTATATATATATATACATATATATATGTATATATATATATACATATATATATGTATATATATATATATGTATATATCAGCACCTCGGAGAAGCCGGGCCTGGGTCCCCACTGATGAAAGTGCCTTCCCATCAGCCCCTGCGCTAGCCCCGAGAACCTGGCGACCCTGATTGGAGACCCGGCAGCGCCTCGGGCCTGCTCGTGGTACCCCAAAGCAGGCAGAAGGCCAATGAGGGGAAGGTGAGGCACCTGGGGAGGAGAAAAAAAACCGCAGCTTTGAGAAGCGGGGCCTGGGTACCCACGGATGAAGGTACCTTCCCATCAGCGCCTGCGCTAGGCCCCGGTGACCCTGGCATCCATGGTTCGAGTCCAGGGAGCGCCTTGGGCCGCTAGGGGTACCCCAAGTCGAACAGAAAGCCCATGATGGGAAGTTGACGTTTGAGGGAGGAGAGGTGAGGAACCTGTGGCAGAAAAAAAAAAGAAAACAAGCCGCGCCTAGGAGAAGCTGGGCCTGGGTCCCCCAAGAGTGAAAATGCCTTCCCATCAGTCCCTGCGCTGGGCCCTGTGGACGCTGGAGACCCCGGTTCGAGCCCCGGGTGCGCCTCGGGCCTGCTAGGGGTAACACAAGGCGGGCAGAAATCCCAGGAGGGGCAGTTGAGGTTTGAGGAAGGAGAGGTGAGGCACCTGTGGCAGAAAAAAAAAACTGCACGACGAAGAAGCGGAGCCTGGGTCCCCAACGGACGAAAGTGTCTTCCCATCAGCACTTGCGCTGGGCCCAAGGGACCCTGGCATTCCTGGTTCGAGACCAGGGTGTGCTTCAGGCCGCTAGGGGTACCCAAAAGCAAGCAGAAGGCCCATGAGGGGAAGGTGACGCACGTGGGGCAGAGAAAAAAACAACTGTGCCTCGGATAAGCGGGGCCTGGGTCCCCCACAGAAGAAACTGTCTTCCCATCAGCGCTTGCACTGTGCCCCGGGGACCCTGGTATCCCTGGCTCGAGCCCAGCGTGCGCCTCGGCCTGCTAGGGGTACCCCAAGACAGACAGAAGGCCCATGAGGGAAAGGTGAGACACCTGGGGCAGAGAATAAAATAAAAAACTGTGCCGCCCAGAAGTGGGGACTGGGTCCCACATGGACGAACGTCCCTACCCATAAGCCCTGCACTGGGCCCCGGAGACCCTAGCATCCCTGCCTCAAAACAACGGTGTGCCTCGGGTCGGCTAGGGGTACCTCAAGGCGGGCAGAAAGCCCATGACGGGAAAGTGAGGCAACTGGGGAAAAAAAAAAAAAAACGCCACAGAGAAGCAGAGCCTGGGTCCCCGAGGAAGAACGTGTCTTCCCATCAGCCACTGAGCTTGGCCCAGTGGAATCTGGCTTCCATGGTTCGAGACCAGGGTGTGCCCCGGGTCGCTAGGTGTACCCCAAAGCGTGCAGAAGGCACAAGAGGGGAAGGTGAGGCACATGGGGCAGAGAAAAAAAAAACCTGCCACGGAGAAGCGGGGACTGGGTCTTCCACACGGACGAAAGTGTCTTTCCATCAGGCCTTGCGCTGGGCCTCAGGGACACTGGAGTCCCTGGTTCGAGCCCACAGTGCACCTCGGACCGCTAGGTGTACCCCAAGGCAGACAGAAGACCCAAGAGGGGAAGGTGAGATTTGAGGAAGGAGAGGTGAGGGATCTATGGCAGGAAAAAAAAAAAAACCGCGCCACGGAGAAGCAGGGCATGGGTCCCCCACAGACGAAAGTGCCTTCCCATCAGGCCCTGATGGTTTGAGACAGAATGAGGAGTGACTAATGTCTACAGGGTTTTTCTCTGGTCGGGGGTGATAAGACGTTCTACAATGGATTGCGAATTAAAATTGAATGTGCACAACCACAGGTATACTAAAAGCCACTCAATTCATGACTTTTAATGGGGAAATCTTATGTGGCGCACTCTAATGGAGACCACGGCAGACATAGTGAGAGAGAAAAAGGTGAGTAAATATCTGAAACGGAGGCAGAAACAGAGAGAATGAAAAGCCCTGTGAATGGAAGGGAGAGCGAAAAGGGAAAATGGTCCTATTTACAAATGACAGATGTGAAACCGGGGTTCACATCAACAGTGTCACTGCCAGGAAGGAGGGTCATGCTAGCCATGTCACCGGTAGTGTGTCCCGCAGGGACGCCGACCTGCTGGAGCGTCGTGCCAGCATGGGCTCTGGCAGCCACGTGGGCCAGCAGGAGGGTCCTGCTGCACAGCTGTGGGGTGAGGATAGACTGGGTGGTGATATCGGCCATTACAGGGGCCTCTTCTGCTGGCAAGAGTGTGACAGTAGCAAGTAGATGGACAGGCCTGCGTGTGAGGACGGAATGCAGGAGGGGCTCTTGTGCGGCTGGTTGTGGGGCCCTCACCAGAAATGTGGAGAAATGGCCATGTAACTGCGTCATGTGGGCTAGTAGATTGGCCAGGGCTTCGAACTGAAGGACAATAACGGGGAGTAGCTGTCAGGCCCTGGGAGTGTCTGAGTGTAAGTGGAGATGGGTTTGGGGTCACTGAGGGATGCGTGGGAGCCATCCCTGTATAGGTACAGGTCATAGGGAGATAGTCTCGTGAGGCCTGTGAGTGTCTAGGGTTGTCCTGGGTGCCTGGGGCTGACTGTGGCAGAAATCCGGGGAAGGCTGGAGAGAAGCTGGGAGACCCAGGAGAGTCCCTGAAGGCAGGGGGTGAAGAGGTGAAAGAAATGGGGGAGGGTTGCAGTAAGGTCCGTGAGTTTGTAGGTGATTCCTGGGTGCGGGAAGCTGACTCCAGGTGAAATCTGGAGATGGTTGGAGAGTAGCTGAGAGAGACAGAAGAGTCCCTGAGGGCTGGGGGTGAGAACATGAGGGAGACTGGGGAGTAAGTCAGTGAAATTCGTGAGTTCGGTGGTGTATCGTGGGTGCCTGGAACTGACTCCAGCTGGAATCTAGAGAAGTTTTGACAGTAGCTGAAAGAGACACAAGAGTCCCTGTGGGCTGAGGGCAAAGACCTGAGAGAGACCAGGGAGGACCTCAGTGAAGTCTGTGAGTCTGTAGGTGATTCCGGAGTGTGGGAGGCTGACTCCCGCTGAAATCTGGGCGTGGTGGGAGAGGAGCTGGGACAGACAGGAGAGTCCCAGGGGGCTGGGGGTGAAGACATGAGAGAGACTGGGGAGTAACTCAGTGAAACTGCTGAGTTTGTAGGTGATACCTGGGTGCCTGGAACTGACTCCCGCTGAAATCTGGGCATGGTAGGAGAGTAGCTGGGACACACAGGAGAGTCCCTGAGGGCTGGGGGTGAAGACATGAGAGAGACCGCGGAGTAACTCAGTGAAACTGGTGAGTTTGGTGGTGACTCCGGGGTGCCTGGAACTGACTGCAGCTGAAATGTGGGCGTGGTTGGAGAGTAGCTGGGACCCCCAGGAGAGTCCCTGAGGGCTGGTGAAGACATGAGAGAGACTGGAGAGTAATTGAGTGAAATTGGTGAGTTTGGTGGTGATTCCTGGGTGCCTGGAACGGACTCCCTCTGAAGTGTGGGCGTGGTTGGAGAGTAGCTGGGACACACAGGAGAGTCCCTGAGGGTTGGAGATAAAGACGTGCTAGAGACTGAGGAGTAACTGAGTGAAATTGGTGAGTTTGGTGGTGATTCCGGGGTGCCTGGAACTGACTCCAGCTGAAATGTGGGCGTGGTTGGAGAGTAGCTGGGACAGACGGGAGGGTCCCTGAGGGATGGTGAAGACATGAGAGAGACTGGGGAGTAACGCAGTGAAATTGGTGAGTTTGGTGGTGATTTCTGGGTGCCTGCAACGGACTCCCGCTGAAGTGTGGGCGTGTTTGGAGAGTAGCTGGGACAGACAGGCGACTCCCTGAGGGTTGGAGATAAAGACGTGCTAGAGACTGGGGAGTAATTCAGTGAAAGTGGTGGGCTTGGTGGTGATCCCTGGGTTCCTGGAACTGACCCGCGCTGAAATGTGGGCGTGGTTGGAGAGTAGCTGGGACAGACTGGAGGGTCCGTAAGGGCTGGGGGTGAAGACATGAGAGAGACTGGCGAGGATCTCACTGAGGTCTGTGAGTTTGTAGGTGTTTCTGGGGTGTGGGGTAGAGACTCCTGCTGAAATCTGGGCGTAGTTGGAGAATAGCTGGGACAGACAGGAGACTCATGGGTGGCTGGGGGTGAGCTGCTGGATGATGGCAGTAAGAACATATGGTATATTATTGATGAATGAGGTGACTGTGAAGAATCTCCAGAGGAGGACACGGGAGAACACAATGACATGAGTGACTGTCCTGCTTGGTTAGGAAAGGGAAACGTAAAGCTGTGGAATTCTGTTGATGATGGATGTGAGAGTGGTGAAGCCCTGCGGGGTGATGTAGAGTACTTCCACATCTCTGGTGAGGAGCTGCCCCTTGGGTCTGAGTTTCTGGGAGGGGAGAGGGAGAAGCTGGGTGAGGCAGGCATGAATCTTGAGGAGTCAGGGCTGGGGGACCGCTCATATTCTCCCGAGACCTGTGAGTCTCTGGGGGACTCCTGGGTGCATGGGACTGACTCCCGCAGGAACCTGGGGATGGCTGGAGAGTAACTGGGAGCCACCAGAGAGTCCCTGAGGCCTGGGGGTGAAGAGATGAAAGACACAGGGGTGGAGCACCGTGAGGCTCGTGAGTTTGTAAGTGATTCCTGGGTGTGGGGGACTGACTCCAGCTGAAATCTGGGGTTGTTTGGAGAGTAGCTGGGAGACACAGGAGACCCCCCGAGAGCTGGGGGTGAGCTGCTGGGTGATGGCAGTAAGAGCATGTGGTATATTATTGATGAACGTGGGGGATCTGAGGAATCCTCAGAGGAGGACACGGGAGAGCCCAATATCTTCATTGATTGCCCATCAATCAATACTTCTTTAACCTGACGGAAGAACTGATCTAAAGGCTTTAGTACAGTGCATGATTATGTGAGATGTTTTGAGACAGAGTAGTACATTTGTGAATGAAATTTTATGGCTTATTTTCGCTTAGTAGGAACCATTGTGTGTGGAAAAGTGAGGAAATTGCTTTCTGCTGAAGAGTCTGGCATTCATTGTAGATTTAAGCTTATTTTCCTGTGAGCAAATCTTATTCAATAAAATACTACTCTTTATACTGAAAAACAAAAACACTGGTGATGTGAGGTCATTATCCTCAGCAAACTAATCCAGGGAAAGAAAACCAAACACCACATTCTCACTTATAATGGGAGCTGAAAAATGAGATCACATGGACACAGGAAGGGGAACAACACACACTGGGGCCTTTCGGGAGGCAGAGCGTTAAGAAAAACAGCTACTGCATGCTGGGCTTAATACCTAGGTGATGGGTTGACAGGTGCAGCAAACCACCATGGCACACGTTTACCTTAGTAACAAATCTGCACATCCTGCACATATACCCCGAACTTAGAAACGAAACGAAACAAAAGAAAACGAAAAAGCAGTAACAAAACGCTAAAGGCAAAATAAAGTTTCAAACTCAGAAAGTGACAGACCAATGTTTGGTTCAAATCATGGGTTCTCAACCCAGGTGCCATAAGGTCAGAATAAAAAATTTGATTATGTATTGTAAATAAGACATGCAGCAAATGACCAGAGAGATTATTCTCAACATATGTGTGTCTTCTAATTCAATGGTGACGCTATCTACCGGGACATAGCATTAGATTCCAAAGGGCCGAGTCCCACCAGACAGGCCTCCCACACTAATAACAATGGGAAGCCCCACGTTGTTTTACCTGTGCTTCTCAGCAACTGGCTATAAATCAGGTTGCCACCACTCCCAGATTTAGTTGCATTCATTTGCTGGAAGAGCTCACAGCACGCAGGTAAACACTTACATTTGCCGTTGTATTTTAGCGGACATTGCAAAAAGTTCAGAAATAAATGTGGGGCCCGGCATGTGGGGAGGGGCGCACTACCTTCCAGGAAGTGTTATCCAGAAGCCCTCTGAACCCAGTCCTTTTGGGTTTTTATGGAGATCTCCTTCTATAGTCATGATGGGTTAAACCATAGGCTATTGGTGATCAGCTCCACCCGAGGCTCTCAACCCTCCCTGGAAATTGGGGTTGAGGCTTTGCCATTCTCAGTCTGACTCAAAGAATTTACCCAAACGGAATTTTAAAACAGATGAGCATAACTGGAATCTTAATTACATGATTGGATTATCTGGAGCCACACCTTGATATTCCTAACCCGAGCACCCTCATCCAACGAATGCTCCACCCAACTGGCTCCCAAGTCTCTACGTGGTTCCAGAGCAAAAGAATGTTTATACAACGCATATCTCCACCTTTTCTTCAAAGTCTTTTCGTTTACACGGAAAGACTTCTTAAACTGCCATGCATCAGAGTCAGGGGGAGGTCTTGTTACAACACAGATCTGTGCATCTCCGGGGTTTGATTGTGGCAAGGATGCTGCTGGTGTCAAAACCACAACGTGGGAACCACAGAACCACTAGTTGGTTTTCAGTGTTTCAGTGCATACAATTCCTAATATATCTGGCCAAGAAAACTTGTAAGTTCTTAGATTGTCCCAAAGGTGGCGCATGAAATCAAAGCAGGAGAACAGTTTCCTACCAGGTGTAGCCTGGGAAAGTTGGGGGTGACTGATGGAAAGGAGGAGTGAAGCTCCGCCCTTTCCGCTGCTAGGCTGCGCCCGAGGCTATTTAAACCCACCCTGGCTGGCCTGTACTCAGATCTTCGCGGAGCGGATCAGCGGCCGGAGCGTTTGGCGGACTCTGCGTGGACTTGGAGCTCACAGTGTCTTGCGACTTGGAAGCGGATTCAGAGGACAGGACAGAACACGTGGGCAAGTGAATCTCTGTCTGTCTGTCTGTCTGTCTCATTGGTTGGTTGATTTCCATTTTCTTAAGGGGCACATACCTCACACCGCACACACACAAACACACACCGCACACACAAACACACACACACACACACACGCGCGCACACACACACTCCTTCCTTCTTCGAGTTAGAAAATTGGTACGGGCCCCTGGGAGCTGCAGGTTTCCTAATCATGTCTGCACCTAAGAACAGTAGGGTCTTGTCTGGCTCTTCTTATGAACGGTCCCCCAGCCCAGACTCCCCAAGGTCCATGCGAGCCTCACCCAGCTTCTTCCTCTCCCCTCTCAGAATCTCTTGCTTAAGGGGAAGCTCCTCACCAGGGATCCGGAGCTACCATTCACCATCCCCTAGGGCTTCACCACACTCACCTCTGTCATCACCAGAATCCCACAAGCTCCCATTTCCCTGTCCTCACCGTGATGGGCAATCAATGAAGACATTGGGCTCTCCCGTGTCCTCCTCTGAGGATTCCTCAGAGTCCCCACGTTCATCAATAATATACCACATGCTCTTACTGCCATCACCCAGCAGCTCACCCCCAGCTCTCGGGGGGTCTCCTTTGTCTCCCAGCTACTCTCCAAACAACCCCAGATTTCAGCTGGAGTCAGCCCCCCACACCCAGGAATCACCTACAAACTCATGAGCCTCACGGTGCTCCACCCCTGTGTCTTTCATCTCTTCACCCCCAGGCCTCAGGGACTCTCCTGTGGCTCCCAGTTACTCTCCAGCCATCCCCAGGTTCCTGTGGGAGTCAGCCCCATGCACCCAGGAGTCCCCCAGAGACTCACAGGTCTCGGGAGAATATGAGTGGTCCCCCAGCCCTGACTCCTCAAGATTCATGCCTGCCTCACCCAGCTTCTCCCTCTCCCCTCCCAGAAACTCAGACCCAAGGGGCAGCTCCTCACCAGAGATGTGGAAGTATTCTACATCACCACGCATGGCTTCACCACTCTCCTTACCATTAGAACACTCAGTAATCATATGAATTGTGCAGTTGTTGTTTTGCTTAACTCTTTTTGTTTGTTTATGCTTGGGGTTTTATTGTTGTTGTTTCACTTTTCTCCCATCTCTTCCTGACTTGGTCAAATCCAAAGGAATGTTCCAAATTATGGGGAGCAAGTCCTCTGAATTGGCTAAAACTCCTATGGCTGCAAAAAAACAAACAAATAAACAACAAAAAAAAGCATTCCAGTTAGCAGAAATTATTTTTTAAACCTTTTTTTTTACGTAACTGGTCTCATCTACATAAAAAGGTCATCCTTTTGCTAGCCAAGGCCAAACTGAAGGAGTAGTGGTGGTGACCCAATGTGAAGATTCTGCCCTGTTCACTACAGAAACCTGAGTTTGGTTCCTAAGTCTAGTTCTTTCTGTTTGATATTTGTGTTACTTTTAAAACGTCAGCAGTTTGTCCCAGCTATGATGTGGTAGTAAAAGATTCAAAAGGGGTTTCTTTACAGGTTCTATGATTAAAAGCTTAATTTAAAGCAAATTTCTTTTTTTTTAAATTATACTTTAAGTTCTGGGGTACATGTGCAGAACATGCAGGTTTGTTACATAGGTATACACATGCCATGGCGGCTTGCTGCATCCATCAACCCATGATCTACATTAGTTATTTCTCCTAATGCCATCCCTCTCCTAGCCCCCCACGCTGACAGGCCCTGGTGTGTGATGTTCCCCTTGCTGTGTCCATGTGTTCCCATTGTTCAACTCCAAGTTATGAGTGAGAACATGTGGTGTTTGGTTTTCTGTTCTTGTGTTAGTTTGCTGAGAATGATGCTTTCCAGCTTCATTCATGTCCCAGCGAAGGACGTGGATTCATCCTTTTTATGGCTACATAGTATTCCATGGTGTATATATGCCACATTTTCTTTATCCAGTCTATCATTGGTGGGCATTTGGGTTGGTTCCAAGTCTTTGGTTTTGTGAAAAGTGCCGCCATAAACAGACAGGTGCATGTGTCTTTATATTAGAATGATTTATAATTTTGGGGGTATTTACCCAGTAATGGGATTGCTGGGTCAAATGATATTTCTAGTTGTAGATCCTTGAGGAATTGTCACACTGTCTTCCACAATGGTTGAACTAATTTATATTCCCACCAACTGTGTAAAAGCGTTCCTATTTCTCCACATCCTGTCCAGCATCTGTTGTTCCCTGATTTTTTAACGATAGCCATTCTAAGTGCTGTGAGATTGTATCTCATTGTGGTTTTGATTTCCATTTCTCTAATGACCAGTGATGATGTGCTTTGCTTCACATGTTCGTTGGCTGTATAAATGTCTTCTTTGGTAAGTGTCTGTTCATATCCTTTGTCCACTTTTTGATGGGGTTGTTTGTTTTTTTTTTTCTTGTAAGTTTGTTCTTTGTAGATTCTGCATATTAGCCCTTTGTCAGATGGATAGATTGCAACAATTTTCTCCCATTCTGTGGGTTGCCTGTTCACTCTGATAATAGTTTCTTTTGCACTGCAGATACTGTTTAGTTTAGTTAGATCCCATTTGTCAATTTTGGCTTTTGTTGCCATTGCTTTTTGTGTTCTGGTGATGAAGTCTCTGCCTATGGCTCTGTCCTGAATGGTATTGCCTAACACAAGGACATTTATGTGCCTGAGTGCTATACCACCCACAGTAATTTATAGATTTATTGCTATCCTCATTAAGCTACCATTGACTTTCTTCATAGAATTAGAAAAACTACTTTAAATTTCATATGGAACCATAAAAGAGCCCACATAGCCAAGACAATCCTAAGCAAAAACAACAAAGCTAGAGGCATCACAGTACCTGACTTCAAATTATTCTACAAGACTACAGTAACCAAAACAGCATGGGGCTGGTACCAAATCAGATCTATAGACCAATGGAACAGAACAGAGGCCTCAGAAATGACACCACACATCTAAAAGCATCTGATCTTTGACAAACCTGACAAAAACAAGCAATGGGTAAAGGATACCCTATTTAATAAATGATCTTGGGAAAACTGGCTAGCCTTATGCAGAAAACTGAAACTGGGCCACACCCATACACCTTAAACAAAAATTAAGTAATATGGATGAAAGAGTTAAATGCAAGACCTAAAACAATAAAAAATCTAGAAGAAACCTAGGCCAACAACCTCAGGGGAAATGTACCTGTAATGAAATGCATGGTACAAACACGCATTCCTTGCTTCCTTGAGTGGGTGACGTTGATGGCTAGTCCAATCACTCCAGCCACACCCTTGCAAACGTGGCTGGTTCCTTTTTGAGCCAGCTTGGCTTTGCCCGGCATGCACAAGTCAGTGCAACAACTGTGACACAAATGGAGCCATACAGAGAAAATGAGCAGCAGGCTCAGGAGCAGGGTGTGCGCTGCCTTGGGGGCTCCAGTCCATGCCTCAGGGCTCATATGACACTGCGGGCTTCTTGGGTGCAAAGAGGCAGACCACAGGCCATCTTCAGGAGGCCTTTATTTTGAAGTGCAGAAAGCAGCCAGGATTACCACCCGTGGGACTCGGCCTTTTGTGACCCTGGCCTGACAGAGTTTGGCCCAAGGCAGGACAAGCTCACTCAGAGCAACGTGTCAGTACCTGGGGCCTGTGCATGCCAGTCAAGGCCAAGCTGGCTCAAAGAGCAACCAGCCACCTCTGCAAGGGTGTGCCTGGAGCAGGTGGACCAGCCACCAACCTCACCCACTGAAGGAAGCCAGGATGGCCAGGTTTCCACAGCCTGAGTGGCTGCCTCCTGATGGCTGATGGAGCAGAGGCCTGAGGAAAAGCAGGTGGCATGTTTAACTCTTTAATCTATCTTAAGTTAATTTTTGTATAAAGCAGATGGCACCGGTCCATGCCTCGGGGTTCATATGGCACTGTGGGCCACAGAAGGCTGAGTCCCCTGGGTGGTAATCCTGCCTGCTTTCTGCACTTGAACATAAAGTCCTCCTCAAGATGGCCTGTGGTCTACTTCTCGGCCCCACCTTTAGGGTAGAAGAACTGATGTACCACGTCTGACAGTGAGTGAGGTTGACGGCTGGTCCACCTGCTCCTGGCACACCTTGCAGAGGTGGCTGCTTGCTCTTTGAGCCAGCTTGGCCTTGCCTGGCATGCACAAGCCTCACTGCAACAAGTGTACAACAAATGGAGCCATAAAGAGGAAATGATCAGCAGGCTCAGGAATGGGGCGTGCACTGCCTTTGTGGCTCCAGTCCATGCCTCAGGGCTCGTATGGCACTGTAGGCTTCTTGGTCGCCAAGAGGCAGACCACAGACGGTCTTGAGGAGGACTTTATGTTCAAGTGCAGAAAGCAGCCAGGATTAGCACCCAGGGGACTCGGCCTTCTGTGGCCCTGGCCAGAGGTAGAATTTGGCCCAACACACTACAAGCTGACTTGGAACGGCATATAGGTAGCTGGGGCCTGTGCATGCCAGGCAAGGCCAAGCTGGATCAAAGAGCAAGCAGCCACCTCTGCAAGGGTGTGCCTGGAGCAGGTGGAGCAACCACCAACCTCACCCACTCAAGGAAGCAGGGATGGCCAGATTCCTACAGCCTGAGGGGCTGCCTCCTGATGGCTGATGGAGCAGAGGCCTAAGGAAAAGCAGATAGCACTGTGGCCCTAACTGTAGGGTAGAAGAACTGATGTAACCCGACCGGCAGCAAGTCAGGTTGGTGGCTGGTCCACCAGCTCCAGGCACACCCTTGCAGAGGTGGCCGGTTGCTTTTTGAGCCAGCCTGGCCTTCCTCAGTATGCACTAGTCAGTGCAACAACTGTGACACAAATGGAGCCACACAGAGAAAATGAGCAGCAGGCTCAGGAGCAGCGTGTGCGCTGCCTTGGGGGCTCCAGTCCATGCCTCAGGGCTCATATGGCACTGCGGGCTTCTTGGTTGCAAAGAGGCAGACCACAGGCCATCTTCAGTAGGTCTTTATGTTGCAGTGCAGAAAGCAGCCAGGATTACCACCCGTGGAACTCGGCCTTTTGTGACCCTGGCCTGACAGAATTTGGCCCAAGGCAGGACAAGTTCACTCAGAGCAACGTGTCTGTACCTGGGGCCTGTACATGCCAGGCAAGGCCAAGCTGGTTCAAAGAGCAACCAGAGCATCCATTCTGGTGGATGAGCCAACCACATGGCCAGCTTCTGGGTGTGGGCACAGTGCCACATCTTCCATCACTTTCTGATATATCCCACCAGCACTGAAGAGACAGCCTGGAGAGAGTGCAAGAGGAAGGCTGAGAAGGATGAGATGGTGAGTGCTGGCTTCTTTCTGACCCTCAGCACACCCCCAGGTGGTGACCATCAACCTTTAGGGGTGGGAGAGCAAGATTGATGGCTTCAAATACTTCCCCAAGAAGATGGACACAGGCCACTCAGCTCAACCTCACAGCCAATGAGTTGACATGCAAGCAGATGACAGTGACAGGCTTTTAGAAAGAGCTTCAGAAGGCGGCCAGTTTTTCTTCGGCCTCAGCCAGGCCTTGGAACTTGACTAGGCCATCCACTTCACCAGAGATGCCTTCAAGAACATCAGTGAGCTCCTTGCCAATCCGTCCAGGAAGGACCTGGACCCAGCCATGGACCTGTTAGTGCTGTCTCAGGGACACCAGACCAACATCCTGGACATCATCCTCATATACAAGGAAGCTCTTACGACAGTCACGGAGAACAGGCAACATGTGGCAGAAGGGAAGACAGAGGTACAGAGGCTGATGGCATCATTATCACAGGAACAGGATTTCTTTGGCCACTTTGGCTGAAATTCACCACTTCTATCCAATCCACTCAAGCGAGAGACTTGAAATCACAGATGGAACATTTCTTGCAACAAGAGATACTATTTTTTCAAAAAGTCACCTAAAATTTGATAGTGTTGAATGACTAGCTATTCGAGTGTGGACTTTTTCCAGTGCACGGGTACTTTCTACAGCAGAATGATAACAGTATCAAAGGGCTGGTGCCAGCTATCGGTGGTAGTACAAGGATGACTTTGTGCTCAACTGAAACCCAGCTGAATATAGACTTGTGTAGGAAAGTGTTAATATGGTGATAGAATAGAAACAGTAGCAAATGAACTAAATCATACTATGAATGCCTACACTACCATTATAACTTTTTGAAGAATGATAATACCACTTACTTTATTGCCTTTTGAAGTAGGAATATTTTAGTGGATATGCTATAGACCAGAAACCCTATAAAGAACCCCAAAGAAGCTGGCTGGATAAAGCCTGCTATGGATGTCTTTATACTCAAAGACTGATGAGGCAATTCGAATATGTGTCCCCACCAAATCTCATGTTGAGTTATGCTTCCTAATGTTGGAGGTGGATCCTGGTATAAGGTGATTGAATCATGAAGGCAAATTTCTCATGAGTGGTTCAGCACCATCCCCTTGGTACTGTCCTCACAATCATGAGTGACTTCTCGTGAGATCTGGCCACTGAAAACTCTATATCACTCCCTACTCTCCGTGATTTCCTCTTGCCATGTGAGACAATTCACTCTTTCATTACCTTGCACAATGATTGAAAGATTTCTGAGGCCCCCCAGAAGCAGAAGCACTAAGCTTCCTGTCCACTCTGCAGAACCATGAGCCAATTAAACCTCTTTTTCAAAATAAATCTTACCAAAAATGGCAAATGAGGACTGGAGCATTCCTATAAAGATACCTGAAAATGTGGAAGCAACTTCGGAACTGGGTAATGGGTAGAGGTTGGAAGAGTTTGGAGGGATCCAAAGAAGACAGACAGATGAGAACATTTTTGGACCATCTTAGAGACTGGTTAAATGGCTGTGACAAGAATGCTGACAAAAACATGGACAGTGAAGGCCAGGCTGAGGGGGCCTCAGATAAAAATAAGAAGCTTTCTGGAAAATGTCTCTCTTTTGGATATAGAAAGCTTACACAATGCCTGTACCATCATTGTACCTTAGACACAGTGAACTTGCTTTTTATTTCAGAGACTCGTAGGCAAAAGAGAATGTAGCCTTGACCCAGATGAGACTTTGGACTTTGTAACTTTGAGTTAATGCTGAAATGAGTTAAGACTTTGGGAGACTGCTGGCAAGGCATGACTGTATTTTGCAATGTGAGAAGGACATGAGATTTGTGGGGTCAGGGACAGAATAATACGGTTTTTCTCTATGCCCCTTCCAAAACTCATGTGAAAGTACACTCCCTAATGTTAGAGTCGGTGCCTAGGTGGAAAAAGCTTTAATCATAAAGGGGTGGGAGTGGATCCTTCACAAATGGCAAAGCACCAAGCCCTTAATGCCATCCTCCTGATAGTGAGTGAGTTCTCATGAGATCTAGTAGTTTAAAAGGCTGTGGAACCTCTTTCCTCTCTCTGTCTTGTTCCAACTTCTGCCATATGAAACATGTCATTGCCGCTTGGATTTCCGGTGTGGTTAGGAGGGACCTGATCAGTGTGGGCCTGGTCAGTGGACCTAGGTCAGTGAGGACTATTTAGTGGGATCGTGGTCAGCAGGGGTCTGCTTAGAGAGGGTCTCATTAGTGGGGTCTAGTAGTGGGGTTTTGGTGAGTGGGGACCTATTGGCTGCCAGTTGTTTGGTGTCTGGTCAGTGCAAACCTGGGCTGTGGGGCTTGATCAGTGGAGACCTGGTCAGCTGGGGCTTAGTGCTGGCCTGGTCAGCATGGGCTGGGGCACTGGTGACCAGGTCAAGGGGTGCTATTCAGTGGAGGACTGGGCACATGGGACCTAGTCAGCAGACCCTGGTGGGCATGTCCTCATCAGTGAGGCCCTTGTCAGTGGGGCCCTGGTCAGGGCAGCCTTGTCAGCGGGACCTAATCTGTAGCATCCTGGTCAGAGACGACTTGGTCAGTGGTGACTTTTGCAGCACTGGTCTACAGGGTGACCTGGTCAGCGGAGATCTCAGCATTTGGTGCCAGTTCAGTGGGGTCTACTCACTAGGGTCCCAGTCAGGGGCATCTGGTGATCTTAGGCCTGGTTATTAGGGGCCTGATCAGTGGCAACCTGTTCCCTGGAGGTCTGGTCAGTGGGGCCTCATCTTTGGGGCCAGGGAATGAGGTCATGATCAGTGGAACTTGATCAGTGAGGCCTTGTCAATAATGACCTACTCAGTGAGGACTTGTCAGTAAGGACTTGGTCCGTGAGGCCTTGTCAGTGAGTCCTTGTCAGTAAGGTCCTGGTCAGTGGAGTCCTTGTCATTGTGGGCCTGGCAGTGGGGGCCTTGTTAGTGGGGCCTGGTCATGAGGGTCTAATCAGTGAGGGTGTCATCAGGGAGGACCTGATGTGTGGGGTCTGGTCAGCAGGGACCTGGTCAATGTGGGCTGCTGAGCACTGCTTGGATAAGCCAGGTGCAATGTGCATTATTGAAGGCCCTGTGGACAGCTGGGATAGCCCAGTGATGCCCAAGGGCCTAGTCAAAAGTGGACAAAGCACGTATTTGGATGGACCTGGGAGATCCTGCTCAGAGATTCTGACAGGACAAAGGTAAAGGAAGGGCCAGAGTGGCTGGAGAGATGGTCACAGTCTATGGGCTGCACAGGATGGAGGAGGCCAGGGAAAAGGCAGGGTGGGCAGTTGGGGTTCAGGGAGAGGCAGGTGCATGCTGGGAGGTCAGACCCTGTGAAGGCTTTGGGGGCGTCAGGTTGGGTAGGCTCCAGGCACTCTCACTCACATAGGATTCCAGAACACTGCTACAAGGCTCTGAGTGTTTGTCCCTCACGTAGGATTCCAGAACACTGCTGCCATTGTCTGAATGTTTGTCCCCCACATAGGATTCCAGAAGCCTGCTGCTGGGGTCTGAATGTTTGTCCCCCATCTAGGATTCCAGAACACTGCTGCGAGGGTCTGAATGTCTGTCCCTCACATATGATTCTAGAACATTGATGCTAGGGTCTGTATGTTTGCCCTTAACATATGATTTCAAAACACTGCTCCTGGATTCTGAATGTTTGTCCTTCACATAGGAATACAGAACACTGCTGCTGGAGTCTGAATGGTTGTCACTCACATAGAATTCCAGAACACTGCTGTGAGGATCTGAATGTTTGACCCTCACATGGGATTCCAGAACACTGCTGCGAGTGTCTAAATGTCTGTCCCTCACACAGGATTCCCGAACAATGTTACGAGGTTCTGAATGTTTGTCCCTAACATAGGATTCCAGAGCACTCCTGCTGTGCTCTGAATGCTTCTCCCTCACATAGGATTCCAGAACACTGCTACGAGGGTCTGAATGCTTATCCCTCATATAGGATTCCAGAACACTTCTGCTGTGGTCTGAATGTTTGTTCCTCACATAGGATTCCAGAATACTCCTGCCGTGGTCTGAATGTTTGTCCCTCACATAGGATTCCAGAACATTCATGCTGGGGTCTCAATATTTCCCTTAACATAGGATTTCAGAACACTGCCCTTGGGGTCTGAATGTTTGTCGCTCACATAGGATTACAGAACACTGCTGCTGGAGTCTGAATGTTTGTCAGTCACATAGAATTCCAGAACACTGCTACAAGGGTGTGACTATTTCTCCCTCACCTAGTATTCCAGAACACTGTTGCAAGGGTCTGAATGTTGGTCTGCCATATAGGATTCCAGAACACTGATGCTGTGGTCTGAATGTTTGTCCCTCACATAGAATTCCGGAACACTGCTACAAGGGTCTGAATGTTTGTCCTTCACATACCATTCCAGAACACTGCTGCCGTGGTCTGAATGTATGTCCCTCACATAGGATTCCAGAACACTGCTACTAGGTTCTGAATGTTTTTCCCACACCTAGGATTCCAGAACACTTCTGCTGGTGTCTGAATGGTTGTTCCTCACATATGATTCCAGGACACTGCTATGAGAGTCTTAATGTTTGTCCTTCACGTAGGATTCTAGAACACTGCTCCCGTGGTCTGAATGTTTGTCCTTCACATAGCATTCCAGAACACTGCTGCTGGGGTCTGAATGTCTGCCCCTCAAATCAGATTCCAGAGCACTGCTGCTGGGGTTTGAATGTCTTTCCCTCACATAGAATTCCAGAACACGGCTGGGAGGGTCTGAATGTTTGTCCCTCACATGGGATACCAGAACACTGTTGCGAGGGTCTAAATGTCTCTCCCTCACATAAGATTTCAGGACACTGCTACGAGGTTCTGAATGTTTGTCCCTCACATAGGATTCCAGAACACTGCCACGTGGGTCTGAATGTTTGCCCTCACATAGGATTCCAGAACACTACTGCTGGGGTCTGAATGTTTGACCCTCACATAGGATTCCAGAACACTCCTGCTGTGGTCTGAAAGTTTGTTCATCACATAGGACTCCAGAACACTCCTAAGAGGGTATGAATGTCCCTCACATAGTATTCCAGAACACTCCTTCTGTGGTCTGAATGTTTGTTCCTCACATAGGATTCGAGAACACTCCTGCTGTGGTCTGAATGTTTGTCCCTTACCTAGGATTCGAGAACATTCACGCTGGGATGTAAATGCTTGCCCTTAACATAGGATTTCAGAACACTGCTCCTGGGGTCTGAAAGTTTGTCCCTCACATAGGATTCCAGAACTCTCCTGCTGTGGTCTGAAAGTTTGTACCGCACATAGGATTCCAGAACACTGCTGCTGTGGTCGGAATGTTTTTCTGTCACATAGGATTCCAGAACACTGCAGCTGGGTTCTGAATGTTTGTCCCTCACATAGGATTTCAGAACGCTGCTACGAGGGTCTGATTGTTGGTCCCTCACATAGGATTCCTGAACACTGCTGCTGGGCTCTGAATGTTTGTCCCTCACATTGGATTGCAGAACACTACTGCTATGGTCTGAACGTTTGTCCGTCACATAGGATTCCAGAACGCTCCTGCTGTGGTCTGAATGTTTGTCTGTCACATAGGATTCCAGAACACTGCGGCTGGGCTCTGAATGTCCCTGACATAGGATTCCAGAACATTGCTATGAGGGTCTGAATGGTTGTCTTTCACATAGCATTCCAGAACACTGCTACGAGGGTCTGAATGTTGGTCCCTCACACAGGATTCCAGAACCCTCCACCTGGGGTCTGAATGTTTGTCCCTCACAAAGGATTCCAGAACACTGCTATGAGGGTCTGAATATTTGTCCCTCACATAGGATTCCAGAACACACCTGCTGTGGTCTGAATGGTTGTCCCTCACAAAGGATTCCAGAACACTCCTGCTGTGATCTGAATGGTTGTCCCTCACATAAGATTCCGGAACACTTCTGCTGTGGTACGAATGTTTGTGTCTCACGTAGGATTCCAGAACACTGCTACGAGGGTCTCAATGTTTGCCCCTCACGTAAGATTCCAGAACACTGCTGCTGGGGTCTGAATGCTTGTCCCTCACATACGATTACAGAACAGTGTTGCTGGGGTGTGAATGTTTGTCCCTCACAAAGGATTCCAGAACACTGCCATGAGGGTCTGAATATTTGTCCCTCACATAGGATTCCAGAACACTCCTGCTGTGGTCTGAATGGTTGTCCCTCACATAGGATTCCAGAACACTCCTGCTGTGGTCTGAATGGTTGTCCCTCACATAAGATTCCAGAACACTTCTGCTGTGGTACGAATGTTTGTGTCTCACGTAGGATTCCAGAACACTGCTACGAGGGTCTCAATGTTTGTCCCTCACATAAGATTCCAGAACACTGCTGCTGGGGTCTGAATGCTTGTCCCTCACATACGATTACAGAACACTGTTGCTGGGGAGTGAATGTTTGTCCCTCACATAGGATACCAGACCACTGCTGCTGAGGTCTCAATGTCTGTCCCTCAAAAAAGGATTCCAGAACACTGTTACTAGGGTCTGAATTTTTGTTCCTCACTTAAGACTGCAGAACACTGCTTCGAGGGTCTAAATGTCTGTCCTTCACATAGGATTCCAGAACACTCCTTCTGGTGTCTGAATGTTTGTCCCTCACATAGGATTCCAGAGCACTCCTGCTGTGGTCTCAATGTTTGTTAATCACATAGGATTCCAGAACACTGCTACAAGGGTCTGAATGTTTGTCCCTCACATAGGATTCCAGAATACTCCTGCTATGGTCTTAATGCTTGTCCCTCACATAGGATTCCAGAACATTCATGTTGGGGTCTGAATGTTTGCCCTTATCATAGGATTTCAGAACAGTGTTCCTGGGGTCTGAATATTTGTCCTTCATATAGGATTTAAGAACACTCCTGCTTTTGTCTGAAAGTTTGTCCCTCACATAGGATTCCAGAACTCTCCTGCTGTGGTCTGAAAGTTTGTCATTCACATAGGATTCCAGAACACTGCTGCTGTGGTTTGAATATTTGTCCCTCACATAAGATTCCAGAACACTGCTAGGAGGGTCTGAATGTTTGTCCCTCACATAGGATTCCTGAGCATTGTTGCCATGGTCTGAATTTTTGCCATTCACATAGGATTCCAGAACAGTGCTACGAGGGTCTGAATGTTTGTCCCTCACATAGGATTCCAGAACACTTCTGCTGGTATCTGAATGTTTGTACCTCACATAGGATTCCAGAACACTGCTGCTGGGGTCTGAACGTCTGTTCCTCACATAGGATTCTAGAACACTGCTGTTGGGGTTTGAATGTCCCTCACATAGAATTCCAGAACACTGCTGCGAGTGTCTGAATGTTTGTCCTGCAGATGAGATTCTAGAACACTGCTGCGAGGGTCTAAATGTCTGTCCCTGACATAACATTCCAGCACACTGCTACGAGGTTTTGAAATGTTTGTCCCTCACATAGGATTACAGAGCACTCCTGCTGTGGTCTGAATGTTTGCCCCTCACATAGGATTCCAGAACATTCCTGCTGTGGTCTGATTGTTCCTCACATAGGATTCTGGAACACTCCAGCTGGCTTCTGAGTGTTTGTCCCTCACATAGGATTCCTGAAGACTGCTGCTGTCACTATAGTCGTTGCGAGTGTCTGAATGTTTGACCTTCACCAAACACTAAATATCCTGCCCCTTTAGTCTTGGACTTTCCAGCCTCCAGATCTGTGAGCAATATCTCTGTTGTTTATGAATTACTCAGTCTAAAGTATTTTGTTATAGTAGCCTAAAGAGACTAAGAGAGCATCACCTGCCCTGTCACCTCATCACCGCATTACTAAAGCTATACTAACAGCAGTCACTTTTAGTGGGTGCTTCATGCATGAGAATAAAGGGAAAAAATTGCAAGGCATACTAAAATCCAAAAAAAGAAAAAAATATAATTTGTGTCAACAGAGCAAGCTTCAGAAGCAGACAAAGATATGATTTTGGAATTTTTTTTAAACCTCTGGAGAATATGCTAAGGGCCTAATGAATGAACTAGACAGCATTCAAGTATAGATGGGTAATGTAATCAGAAAGACAGACATCGTAAGAACCTTCAACATAATGTAGTGGTAAAAAATGTGGTAAATAACTGAAGAATACCTCTGATGGCTTATTAGTAGACTGGACTCAGCTGAGTAAAGAATCTCTGAGCTTGAGGATTTATCATCAGAAACTTCGAAAACTAAAGAAAAGAAACACTGAAAAGAACAGAAGGTGATATCCAAGACTGTGGGACAACTACAAAAGGTGAAACAGAGTAATGAGAATACCAGGAGGAGGAGAAGAAATAGAAGAAAGTTCTGCAACAACCATGTCTGAGAACTTCCAGTATTAATGTCAGACACCAAACCAAAGATCCAGGAAGCTCTGAGAACACCTGGCAGAATAAATGCCAACAACCTACACTTGGACATATAATTTTCAAACTATATGAAATAAAAAATAAAGGAAAACTCTGAAAGAAACCAGAGGTGGGGCAGAAAACACCTTACCTACAGAGACACAAAGATAAGAACTGCATTCAACATTGCAGAAACTGTGAAAGCAAGAAGACAGTGAAATGAAAAAATCAAAATGTTGACAGAAAAAACCCACCAACCTAAGTTTCTGTACCCACTGAAACCACCCTTCAAAAGTGAAGGAGAATTAAGGCCTTCCTCAGAAAAATAAAAATTCAAGAAACTTGTTGCCAGGAGACCTGTCTTGCAAG
Source organism: Homo sapiens (assembly GCF_000001405.40). NCBI lineage: Eukaryota > Metazoa > Chordata > Mammalia > Primates > Hominidae > Homo > Homo sapiens. Next base: position 11,684,534 of record NC_000022.11, on the reverse strand, counting down.
AAATGTTAAATGAAATTCTTTAGAGGGAAACAAAAGATATATAACTGAAACCTGGATCAACATTTTTTTAAAAAGAGCATTAAAGAATTGTGGTACAATAAAAACCTATGTATTTATTCTTAATTGATCTGACCAAGAAGTTCATAGACAATAACAAATACACACAGATAGATTATGTATGCTTAAACACAAGTGAAATGAGTAACACTAATACAAGGAATAGAATGGAAGGATGGGAGGGAGGAATTGTGGTACAATAAAAACATGTATTTATTCATAATTGATCTGACCAATAAGTTTGTAGATAATAATAAATACACACAGATAGATTATGTATGCTTATACACAAGTGAAATAAGGAACAATAATACAAGGAATGGAATGGAAGGATGGGAGGGAGGAATCAGGTGTTTTCTTTGTTAAGCAGGTAGTCACCCGTGAAGTGGGATAGTGTTATCTGAAAGTGGACTTTAATTGGTTGTAAATGTATATTGAGGAATTAGGTGTGTTCTTTGTTAAGCAGGTAGTCTTATTTGTGGGATAGTGGGATAGTGTTATTTGAAAGTGGACTTGAATTTGTTATAAATGTTACTGAGGAATTAGGTGTTTTGTTTGTTAAGCAGGTAGTCTTATTCGTGGGATAGTGGGATAGTGTTATTTGAAAGTGGACTTGAATTTGTTGTAAATGTATATCGCAAATTCTGTGGCAACTAGTTAAAAAAAGTTTTAAAAAGAGAAGTACATGCTAAGAAAGACAGGGAAAATGTAGTCATCTAAAATCATCAATGAAAACTGCAAAAGGCAGAAAAAGACTGGTAGACAAAAGAATGGAGACTGAGGAGAATGAATAGAAAACAGTAACAAATATAGTAGATATTAATCCAATGATATCAATAATCACTTTGAATGCTAATGGTATGAATGTACCAATTCAAAGATAGAGATTGTCAGAGTCTATCAAAAGACTTGATTCACTGCACTTTGCTTTATTGTGTTTTGTGACCATGTGTTTTACATATTGAAGGTTTGTGGCCACCCTGCAATAAGCAGGTCTGACTGGCACCATTGTTCCTACAGCACGTGCTCACTTCACGTCTCTGTGTCACATTTCGGTCATTCTCACAGTATTTTAAGATTTTTATTATTGAATCGTTATGGTGATCTGTAATGAGTGATCTTTAATGCTACTGTTGTCATTGTTTTGGGAACCACAAATCACACCAGGATAAGACAGCAAACAATTGACAAATGCGTTTGTTCTGACTGCCCCACCAACGGGCCATTTCTCTTTCTCTCTCTTTTTCTCAGGCTTCTTTTTATTAATATTAAAATGTGGCCAATTAATAACCCTACAATAGCCTCTGTATGTTCAAGTGAAAGAAGACTTGTATGTCTGTCACTTTAAACCAAAAGAAAGAAATAATTAAGCTTAGTGATTAAGGCATGCTGTAAGCAAGACAGGCCAGTAGCTAGACCTCATGCAACAAACACTTAGCCAAGTTGTGAATGCAAAGGAAGTGTTCTGGAAAGAAATTTAAAGTATTACTCCAGTGAATACATGAATGATAAAAAGCTAAACAATCTTGCTGCTGTTATGAAGAAAGTTTAATTGATCTAGATAGAAGATAAAAAAAATCCACTAAGCCTAAGCCTAACTCTCTTTTTACTTTTTTTTTTGTTTTTGAGACAGAGTTTCATTTTTCTTGCCCAAGCTGGAGTACAATAGCGTGATCTTGGCTCATCGCAACCTCTGCCTCCCAAGTTCAAGCTCTCCTGCCTCAGCATCCTGAGTAGCTGGGATTACAGGCATGCACCACCACACCTGGCTAATTTTTTGTATTTTTAGTAGAGACGGGGTTTCTCCACGTTGGTTAGACTGGTGTCGAACTCCCGACCGCAGGTGATCTGCCTGCCTCGGCCTCCCAAAGTGCTAGGATTACAGGTGTGACAGCCACCACACCCGGCCTCTCTTCAATTCTATGAAGACTTAGAGAGGTGAGGCAGCTGCAGAAGAAGAGTGTGAAGCTAGAAGAGCTTGTTTCTTGAGGTTTAAGGAAAAAAGTCATCTTCATAACATAAAAGCGCAAGATAAAGCAGCAAGTACTGATGGAAAAGCTGCAGAAAGCTATCTAGAAGATAATTGATTAAGATGGCTACACTAAACAGATTTGCAATGAAGACAAAACAGCATTCTACTAGAAGGAGATGCCATCCAGGATGTTCCCAGCTAGAGAGGAGTTGATGCCTGGATTTAAGGCTTCAAAGGACATGCTGACTCTTTTGTTAAGGCCTAATGCAGTTTGTGATGTTAACATGAAACCAATGATGATTTACTATTCTGAAAATCCAAGGGCCCTGAAGAATTATGATAAAACACAGCTCTGCCTGTACTCTACAAATGGGAACAAAGCCTGGATGACAGACTATCGGTTTACAAATACGGTTTACTGAATATCTTAAGCCCACTGTCGACAACTACCGCTCAAGAAATAAGATTCCTTTCAAAGTATTACCACTCACTGACAATGCCCCTGGTACTCAAGGGCTTTTACAGAGATGTATAAAGAGCTGAATATTGTTTTCATGCCTACTAACCCAACATTCATTCTGGTGCCCTTGGATCAAAGAATAATTTCAACTTTCAAGTCTTATCACTTAAAAAATATATTTCATAAAGCTATAGCTTCTCTAGCAAGTGATTCCTTTGATGGATCTGGGCAAAATAATTGAAAACCTACTGGAAAGGATTCACCATTCTAGATGCCATTGAGAACATTCATGATTTAAAAAAGAAGATCAAAATAGCAACATTAGGAGAAGTTGGGGCTGGGCTTGGTGGCTCACGCCTGTAATCCCAGCACTTTGGGAGGCCAAGGCACGTGGATCATGAGGTCAGGAATTTGAGACCAGCCTGGCCAACATAGTGAAATCCTGTCTATACTATAAACAACAAAAAAATTAGCTGGGCCTGGTCGGGGGTGACAGTAATCCCAAACACTTGGGAGGCTGAGGCAGGAGAATTGCTTGAACACGGGAGGTGGAGGTTGCAGTGAGCTGAGATCGCATCACTGCACTCCAGCCCAGGCAAGACTTCATCTCAAAAAAATAAAAGAGAGAGAGAAAAGTTGGGAAGATTATTCCAACCCTCACTGATGACACAGGGGTTCACCACTTCTGTGGAGGAAGTAACTGCAGATATGGTGGAAATAACAAGAGCACTAGAATCAGAGACAGAGCCTGAAGATC